>NC_000006.12:363030-514545 GCF_000001405.40 Homo sapiens
CAGGCGCAGATGCTCCAACAGAAGGGCGTGCTCTGGGGAGCACTTGAGGTGGACAGAGGGCGCCGCTTCATCCATAGTTGGACAGACCAAGCACTGAATTATGTATTCTAAGAAATGCAATTCTGAACCAGTGACTGCTATTCAGTCTAATACAAATCATCAAACACAAATGAATATACTTCTAAGGCGGTACAGCCAATGTCCTCTTGCCCCAGAGGTAAGAATCGTTTTGCCCCAAAACTTTTACAAAAAAAAAAGAAAAGCTTGCAAGTCCTTGGAAAAGAATGATCTTCAAAAGAAAAATTTCAATCGGAAAAGAAGCAATGGGGCGATTAAAAAGTGGCTGTGACAACCACCCGTTTAAAGAGACAGTGATTCAGTGGAATGGTGGGCGTCCTCCTGACTTTCTGAGCCAGACTGAACTGACTCGGCACACCACCACCACCCTCTTCGACGTCTACCAGCTTCAGACTCAAAGGTTAGGAAGCAGAAAACCCACCGCCCTCTTCGACGTCTACCAGCTTCAGACTCAAAGGTTAGGAAGCAGAAAACCATGACATTCTTCGGAAGTAAAAAACAACTTGAGATTTGGGAAATTCGCCTGACTGGCATCACTTGGGTGGTGAAGATTTTCTTTTGTCCCAGATGTATACTTTTTGATCTGATAATAGCACTAGACAAATGTTCACGTGTGGAAAGAAAACTTCTCAAAACGACCTCTGAAGCTTATATTTATTTATCTATTTGCCAAAAGGAAGCAGGCGAGATTTAAGGTAAAAACAAACAAACTGTGGCTTCTGCAGCGACATCACCTTTTGCTTATTTGCGTATTTTATGAGACCCTTGTTCTTAGTGTGGTTGTTGCCCAAATCTCACTCAAGGAGACCTCACCGTAAAATCCCCGACGTGCATTTCACAGAATAGACACTGCTGTCCTGTGACGCTTCAGAGCCTGCTGGTCAACAAAAACCAGAGAGAACGTTCTACACGCCGTTTTCTAGGAAACGAGTGGGATCTGATCAGGTGGATCCTGACCTCGCGCTTGGCATGATTTGTGACTTTGGTGGCTCTCCCTGCAGTGTTGTCAAACGCTGCTGGGTGCGTCCCCTGCCTCACTGGCCCTTCTGCTCAGGCTCAGTGCAGCCTCTCCCGTCCACAGTTTCCCAGTCCTTAGAGTAGGGGCAGGATTTCTCAGAGTTTTCTCTTCTGTAACATACCAGATGGAGAGTCATTAAAAGATAGAAGTGTCTTTTTGATGTGTGGCCTTTGGGAGAAATTAGAATCATGAAAACTATTTCCGCTCTTCATTGTCGCTGCGACAACATGTCTCGAAAATGATAGAATTTTCTGTTATCACCTTTCTTTATCCAAAACTTTGCCAGATTGGCGTCCCAGGATAATTTATCCCAAAACCCCAGTTTCTACGCATTTCTCGTGGTGCTTGGCTCCACAGAGCTACAGATTCCTGAAACGGCACAGGTTGCCTCCTGACTCAGGGCTGAGTGTTACAGCCACGTTCATATTTAGAACATGGCAGGAAAGGCCTCCAGTAGTGGACAGACACCCATCTCGTGGCTCTCAGACAGGTCATGAACCCCCTGAAAATCTCTAGGTCTCTAAAAGAGTGGATATTTTTTACAGTAAATTAACAGCAGCTGAATTCTCCAAGAAGACATGGGTTACCCCATTTACACTAAGAGTCCTCAGAATGTCTTTGAATAGCAACAGCAGCTGTTCTGTAATGCAAACCAAAGGACAGAGAAACTTTTTTTTTTTTTTTTTTTTTTTTTTTTTTACTATGGTAGAGTTTTGAGTGGGCAATGGGGAATTCTGGGCGTCTGAGTGGTTTCAAGCCTTTTTCCTCTTTAAATAGCAGGTCACACTGGGCATGTTTCATTGCTGATACCAATTGTTTTATATCCTAACAGGCAACACAGACTGCCTTACAAGACACACCCGTGCTGACCCCCGGCCCCACCCCTGGCCGTGTTGAACTTGGGTGACCATGCATACACATTATTTTCCACAGAAAGATACACACCAGAGCTCATTAGACAGCCCATTGGGTTGCATCAGGTGCTAACAGACACTGCAGCTGTCTGACCAGCAAAAATATTGTGGGCTTGCCGTAACGGTCATTTGGCTAGCTAGAATGTGGGGAATCTGATCTCTCTGTTTTTAGGAGATTATTTCCCATAGTTAAAGGAAGTCACTGGGATTGGTTTTAACTCCTATTTTGATTTTCTTCTCCTACAAAACACCATCCTCTCCTAATTTTTTTCATGCTTTTTGAAAACAGCTTTATTGAGGTAAGATTCACATACCATAAAATTCACCTGAGGTCGGGAGTTCGAGACCAGCCTGACCAACATGGAGAAACCCCATCTCTACTAAAAATACAAAATTAGCTGGGTGTGGTGGCATGCATCTGTAGTCCCAGCCACTCGGGAGGCTGAGGCAGAAGAATTGCTTGAACCCGGGAGGCAGAGTTTGCAGTGAGCCGAGATCAAGCCATCGCACTCCAGCCTGGGTGACAAGAGCAAAACTCCACCTCAAAAAAAAAAAAAAAAAAAAAAATTCACTCGCCTACAGTGTACAAGGATTTTTAGTAAACCTACTGCAGTGTGCAGCCATCTCCATCATCTGGTTTCAGAATATTTTCATTGCCCCAGTAAGATCCCGCTGCCTATATGCAGTGAATACAGTGAATTCCCATTCCCACTCCCCATATTGACAACCACCAATCTGCTTTTTGTCTCTATCAGTTTGCCTTCTTAGGACATTTCATATAAAAAGAATCACGCCATCCTTCATGTCTGGCTTTCTTCACCCGGCATAAAGTTTTTGAGCTTCTGCCCCCTGGGGCACGTCTGGGTGGATCTTTCCTTTTGATTGAACAGCCCGGTTTCTTTTTTATTGGAGTGCAGGACTGATCACTAGTGAGTTGGTTCTCACAGTGGTTCTCCACCGGGGCTGACTGCCCCCTGGGGACATTTGTCTGGAGACATTTTTGGCTGTCACACCTGGTGTGGGGGCTTCTCCTGACATCAAGAAGATAGGGGAAGGTGCTAAGCCCCCTACAAAGCACAGGGCAGCCTCCAGAGCTGGGAATTACCCGGCCCAAGTATCACGAGAGCCAAGGTGGAGGATCTTGTGTTAGACTTCACTGAATTTTCACTTACCACCTGGGTACCTGTCTAGAACCAAGTGGTGCTCGATGTAAACCTCCTTCCCTTTGAGAGTGCTGCATGCTACTGTACTGGAGTTTTTGTTTAGTTTTTACATATATTTGAAATACAAACTCTTTTGTGGAATTGATGACTTTTCTTACCATTTGGGTAAATTCTGGAATCTCCTAAAATATTATTGGTAGTATGCACTGTCCACGAGAGGAAGATGAGGAGAAAAAGAGTACAGCTCTCGTCTCCTCGTTGAGACACCACACGACCTGGTTTTAGCAACAGAAAAATAGCAAGTGGTTTGGCTGACGCAGGCTAAGATCCCATGAAGCCGCAGAAACGGGGGAAGCTTATAGTAAAGTCATCTAATAAAGTAAATCTAAGTTTATTCAGCAACAAGTTGCATTTCATTTGTTTTTGTGGTGTGAGGACCAGCGTTCCACATTCTCGTTATATTTTGCTAGTGCTGCTCCAGAATTTTGAATCTACTGTTATTCTTAATATGAAGGAATGAAGTTCACAGTGGGGTAGAGGTTAAAAGGAAACAGATCTAAAGAAACAAAACTGAAGAAGTTCTTATCATCCAGCATTTGGCACAGCATAAAATCCCTTTAGGAGCGAGAAGAAATCAGCCTGAATTAACATACTTTGTTTTATCTGAGACCAGGGACTCGCTGACTGCTTACTTCTTTTTCTCTGGGGTGGCTGAGATGCCAAGACATGAAATTCTATCTCTCAGTTCTTTGGAGCTCTGTGTGTTGGTGAATTAGAAACAAAGCACTCTGTTTGGAGCTTAATAACGTAAGAGGAGACTGCTGTGATGCGAGTCGGTAAACTGTAGTTGGCAGAGGGTACCTTTGGGGATTTGACAAATAAATGATGGCGGCATTTCAGCTGCTCAGGCAATCTCCTCTCCTGACCCCTCTTTTGCTCCAGTGGGCAAGTCTGCCTCGGCCCTGCGAGGAGGACATGGGGAGGCCATGGGACGCACTCCGGGGGCTCTGCTGCAGCCTTGGGTCCCTCCTCAACCCTCTTCTTTGTTTTGACACCAAGAATAACAGCACCAGAAATATATGGTGAGAGTAAACTGAGGGCAAAGCACACACAGAATGCATGCATGCATATGTGTGCACATGCACATACACACATGTACACACGACACATGCATCTACACGTGTGCATATGCACACACATACACAATACATGCAGATACACATATAGCATGTGCACATATGCACAGATACATTCACACATCCACATGTCTGAATGCTTGCATACACATACTATGTGTGTACACACACAATAACATGCATACACATATAGCATGTGCACACACAATACACGCATACCCACATGTGTGCATACACGTGCAGACAGACATACACGATGCATGCATACACATATACGACGTGCACATGTGTACATATACACAATGCATGCATACAGACATACACACACATACGATTCATGCACATACACATACAAAGTGTATGCACACTCATACAGGACTCACATACACACACACACATTCTTCAGCATTGTTGCAGGCACTTGGACACATTCTGTATTCATCACTGCCAGATCAATATTGTGTCCTGTGTTACAGAGGAGGAAGCTGATGCCAAAAGAGGTTAAATAATTTGCTCCGAGCCACATAGCAGGTAAGTAATAGAGCCTGGGTCGAAACCACGTTCTCTCCAAATCTGAACTGCAAAGAGAGAAGCAGCACAAAGGAAGTGTTGCCTTTAAAAAGATGTGCCTCCACACGCGGGTGTTCCAGCCCAGTCACCCCAGCACCACTGAGCACCATTCACCTCAACGAGGGCATGGAATTCTACCCGAATGTGAGGCACAGTAGTGTGATAATAGACTTAATCTCTCTCTCTCTTCCCCCCCGCGCCCCCAGAAAGAAGGAGATGTAAGAGAAGCCCCCTGCCCCCCAGCACGTGTTTCTCTAAACCATTCCAGGAATAAGTAGTTTGCTTTCCGGCTGTGGGAGGTGGTGGCGATGGGAGGGGTTCTGAATTCTCTGCGCACATCTCCTCTCTCCAGAGTCAGTGAGAGGATGAAGCTCTGAGAATCCCAGGGAGGAGAGTGGTTAGTGGTTGCTGTTACAGTCCCCTCAGGAGTGTGTCTGTTCTTCCCTGAAGGTGACATTCTGTCCCCCAGAAATGTTTGCGGCTGATGGAGGCCTGTGGACTCTCCAGGAGCAGGAAGCTCCCAGCTCTGTGAGAAGCTGTTACCTGTGAGAACTTGACGCCCCAGCTCTGCTCCCTGAACCCACAGGCTCCCTGGGCATAGCTGGGCTCACAGCCCCCAGGACTTCCCTTCTCTTTGTTTCTGTGATCGCGTTCTCATCCTTGGGTCTTTGGAGACATTTTATTTTGTAAATTCGAGGATTTCAACTGCTATTATTATAATTATTTTTTTTTAGGTGAAGTCTCGCTCTATTGCCAGGCTGGAGTGCTGTCGTGCGATCTCTGCTCACTGCAAGCTCCGACTCCCTGGCCCAAGCGATTCTCCTGCCTCAGCCTCCCGAGTAGCTGGGATTACAGGCAGGCACCACCACACCCACCTAACATTTGTATTTTTAGTAGAGAGGGGGTTTCACCATGTTGGCCAGGATGGTCTCGATCTCCTGACCTCGTGATCCACCTGCCTCAACCTCCCAAAGTGCTGGGATTACAGGCGTGAGGCACTGCGCCCGGCCATTACTATTATTTTTTAAATGGGGACTCTGGCACTCAGGAAATGTTTATCCCAACTTTGGAGACATACTATGACCTAGTGCGCAGCCAGGGAAAAGTGACATCAGCCCTAAAAACAGTGAAATTCCTCAGGCCACTCAGCCCTTGCCAGACGCTGGCTTCCTGCACGGCCGAGTGACTGGACTGCGAATCCATTCCACGCTTATTGACCACCTTCTCTACCAATGAACGCAAAGCATTTCATTTCTTCTTAATTTCAACAAATTTTAATGGACAAAAATTGTATATGTTTATGGCGTACAATATATTTTGAAAATACGTAAACATTGTAGAATAAGTACAAAGCATCCATTGTACAATTCAGTGAATATAATTAATAACAATGTATTGTATGCTTGCAAATTACTAAAATAGTGGACTTTAAGTACTCTCACCACTAAAATATAAGAATGTGTGGCAATGCATATGTTAATTAGCTTGATTTAACCATTGCATGAAGCATTTTGATGAGTTTTTTAACCCTCATCCTATTGTCCTTAGAAAGAAGAGGTGCTTTTCACGACTTCTGAAAGGAAAGGAGATATGTCTCATTTTTACTCCAGAGGTCAGGATGGCCACTAGAAGAAGGCAGCAGCTGCTGCCTCCTTCTCCCTGCCTGCCCACTCGCCAAGGATTTTTCAAGCCTCATGTCCTTCAGCATCAGGCTGAAGCTGCGAGTTCCATCCTCAGACTGCTGGGAAACTTGCTTAGGGTCACAGAGTTAGAAATGGCCTTGCCAGGTCGCAAACAGAGACCTGGTCCTGAAGCTGTCTGTGTGGTCCTGCCTGGCAGACCCCAGGTTTTCTGTGGCTTGCTGCCCTGTGAGGGCCCATGGAAGCCCTCCCCGGAGGGGCTGGTGGAGAGAGTTCTGAATTCCTGGGCTCTGGGATGTGAAGGGAGCGGACTGCAGGTGAGGGGCTGTCAGATTCCAAAATGCTGCCTGCATAAATGTTATTGAATGAGTGATTCATTCTGGGAGTGTGGGGTTTCGGTGACTCTGAGTCCCTGTCCTCCAAACATTTACACACTGCACCTCCATGTGGGCAGGGAGCATAGGTGCCCACCTCCCATTCCCTGAGATAGGGTTGATAGCACTGGCTAAGACCTTAGGGTGAAACACACGCCGGCATGGGGTGCAGCGTTGAGGACTGAAGACGGAAATCCATATTCAAATAGCCATTCTGAGGGTTTCTCTTGCAGAGGTGATTTCTGCTCAGATCTGGTCGGCACTTCATGGGTTTGGCCTGGACAGGCAGCCGACCAAACCTGTGCTGGGCTGGGGCCCAGCTCACCATTTTTTGGCTGGCTCTTTATTGTATTATATTTCTTTCAGTTTTGTTGCTGAAAGTTCTTTTGGGGGTTTTCTGCTTAAAACCAGAACCTGCAAATCCATGTAAGGGGGCTCCCTACAGTGGGCTGTGGCAGTGGCCGGGGAGGTTCCCTGCACACACTGCTGTGACTTCTGCTAATATGAGCACTACTAGCTGGCACTCTAGGCTTCAGCTCATTTCTAATATTCTAGATGCAAACACGTACAGACGGATGTTCTGACATATTATTTTGGAGACCCTTCTCGTGCTCTGCCTGCCCCGATGTAGGCTCTGAGGGGACCCTGGAGCCACCTTACCCTGCTGTACCCCAGAGCAGTGCTTGGCACAGGGTGGGCACTCTGCATATGCCTTTAGAGGGAGCAAGGCCGTTTGGGTTGAAATCACCTTCTCATGAACCCAAGGCTGACACAGTGGCAGGGAATAAGTACATGCGGAGTCACAGACTCATGGTTGGCTGTGCATCCGAGCCTGTCCTCTCCATGCTGGAGTTCCCAACAGGCCAGAAGGGCCTCAGAGGGGTGGCCCAGACCCCCTGGCACACTGCACCCATCGAGTGTGAACAACTTCGCTGTAGATTAACAAGTGTTATGGAGGGGGGCCAGGATCCGGTTTGGGGGTCCTCAGATATGCAAAGAGCTCACTGAAGAAAGAACTTTGATTATAGCTTCCCAAATGGGAGTTAATGACAAAGATACGGAGAAGTAGTAATAACAATAGTTACATGAGCAGTGCAGTAGCAGCGGCAGTAATAGTAGTGGTAGTAGCAGCAGTTGCAGTAGCTGTGGCAGGAGGAGTAGCAGCAGCAGCAGTTGCCGTAGCTGTGGCAGGAGGAGTAGCAGCAGCAGCAGTTGCCGTAGCTGTGGCAGGAGGAGTAGCAGCAGCAGCAGTTGCCGTAGCTGTGGCAGGAGGAGTAGCAGCAGCAGCAGTTGCCGTAGCTGTGGCAGGAGGAGTAGCAGCAGCAGCAGTTGCAGTAGCTGTGGCAGGAGTAGCAGCAGCAGCAGTTGCAGTAGCTGTGGCAGGAGGAGTAGCAGCATCAGCAGTTGCAGTAGCTGTGGCAGGAGGAGTAGCAGCATCAGCAGTTGCAGTAGCTGTGGCAGGAGGAGTAGCAGCATCAGCAGTTGCAGTAGCTGTGGCAGGAGTAGCAGCAGCAGCAGTTGCAGTAGCTGTGGCAGGAGTAGCAGCAGCAGCAGTTGCAGTAGCTGTGGCAGGAGTAGCAGCAGCAGCAGTTGCAGTAGCTGTGGCAGGAGGAGTAGCAGCATCAGCAGTTGCAGTAGCTGTGGCAGGAGGAGTAGCAGCATCAGCAGTTGCAGTAGCTGTGGCAGGAGGAGTAGCAGCAGTTGCAGTAGCTGTGGCAGGAGTAGCAGCAGCAGCTGTTGCAGTAGCTGTGGCAGGAGGAGTAGCAGCAGCAGCAGTTGCCGTAGCTGTGGCAGGAGGATTAGCAGCATCAGCAGTTGCAGTAGCTGTGGCAGGAGTAGCAGCATCAGTAGTTGCAGTAGCTGTGGCAGGAGGAGTAGCAGCAGCAGCAGTTGCAGTAGCTGTGGCAGGAGGAGTAGCAGCATCAGCAGTTGCAGTAGCTGTGGCAGGAGGAGTAGCAGCATCAGCAGTTGCAGTAGCTGTGGCAGGAGTAGCAGCATCAGTAGTTGCAGTAGCTGTGGCAGGAGGAGTAGCAGCAGCAGCAGTTGCAGTAGCTGTGGCAGGAGGAGTAGCAGCAGTTGCAGTAGCTGTGGCAGGAGGAGTAGCAGCAGTTGCAATAGCTGTGGCAGGAGGAGTAGCAGCATCAGCAGTTGCAGTAGCTGTGGCAGGAGGAGTAGCAGCATCAGCAGTTGCAGTAGCTGTGGCAGGAGGAGTAGCAGCATCAGCAGTTGCAGCAGCTGTGGCAGGAGTAGCAGCATCGGCAGTTGCAGCAGCTGTGGCAGGAGGAGTAGCAGCATCGGCAGTTGCAGCAGCTGTGGCAGGAGGAGTAGCAGCATCGGCAGTTGCAGCAGCTGTGGCAGGAGGAGTAGCAGCATCGGCAGTTGCAGCAGCTGTGGCAGGAGGAGTAGCAGCATCGGCAGTTGCAGTAGCTGTGGCAGGAGTAGCAGCATCGGCAGTTGCAGTAGCTGTGGCAGGAGTAGCAGCAGCGGCACTTGCAGCAGCTGTGGCAGGAGTAGCAGCAGCAGCAGTTGCAGTGCAGGAGTAGCAGCAGCTTAGGTAGCAGTCGCAGTGCAACAGCCGCAGCAGCATCAGAGCCTCGGCAGCCGCAGCAGCAGTAGTAGTAATAATAGTAACAGTAGCAGCCACCGTTTTTTGAGCACCTCCTATGTGGCAGACACTGTAGCAGGTATTAGTTCATTTAATACTAGCAGGAGCCCTGTTGAACACTCTTCATGGCTTCCTTTCCCCCATGGCGTCTGAGCCCCCTTCACTGGCCTCACAGGATCCCCTGGCCACGGCGCCTGCCCGCTGCTCAGCCCTCCTCTGGCCACATGCCCCACCGGCACGCAGCCTGCATCCTCCTTTCACTTCCTCAAAGGCGCCATGCCCTCTCCCCTCTGCACTTTCCACCCCGACCCCACTGGCCTGTCTCCCTCCCCTCCATGGACCTCAGGTTAAGTCATGCCTGGTGAAAGCTCCTGGAGCTCAGACATGCTGGTTCCCCGGTACTGTCATTGCGGCTCAGTCCTTTATCTCCCCGTCCAGAAAAGACGGATGTGCTGGAGAAAGGACAGGGCCCATGGAGGGCCACCAGTGCCACCTGAGGTAGTGCCCAAGGCAAGAGCTGGAGCAAGCTGAGAAAAAAAGATGTAGTATTACGTTCTAACCCACAGAGCAAAATAAACACCCACAAGCCCAGACTGATACAGAAAATGCAAACCCCTCTAGAGGAGCGCATTCATCGGCCTTGCCCACCGCTCACTGCTGTGCCCCTCCAGGCCCTCGCAGGGAACATGGCACATTGCAGGTGCTTCATAAAGGACAATGGAGTGAAGGTGGTGGATGTGTGCCCGGCGAGGGTGGCGGCTGGAAGGTCTGCTGGTGCCTGAGGGAAGGGCAGTCAGTATCAGAGTTGGAACTCTGCAGCTGGCTTTAAACTTTGCTTTTTTATGACTGCCTCCCAAAGGTGAGGAAAACTCAATTGGCTTCCTTGTTCTCACATCCCAAAGACAGTCAGGAGCCAGGACTGGCAGCATTTTACAGCTCTGTTAAGAGGTTGACCTGTCCTGGAAAGTGTAAAGGACTGTTCTTTACAGTTTATGATGCCACATTTCATGAATCTGAGAATCCATGCCACAAATGGCCTCGCTTTACCAATGCAAAAGGGCAAATCAAGGGGTTCTGGCCCGTCTTGTGTCATTCAAACTGCAGTTTTGAAAAGTTCGATTAGAATGTTTTGCCCGTGATAAGAATCACAAGAGATTCTTCAAGTGCTTTATCCTGGGAGAGTTGAGTGGTGCTGCCCAGCAGCAGCGAGAATGCTTCTCACGTTGCTATCAGGTGGCCCCTGCTCCGTGGGGTCCGGAGCGGTTCACCGCCTGGCTTTTGACTGTTTATAAATTTGGCATAGGCATGCCAGTGGGTTTTGCAGAATCCATGTAAGGATTGCACGTTACATACCAAGCTTGCCAGTGACGCACTGGCTGACATGTCCCACGGCGTGTCCCTGCTTCCTGGCCGCTGCAGCAGCCTGAATTCAACTCTGCAGAGCGACTTATGCTTTCCTGAACCTTATTTCCTTAAGAGCTATTTTTAGAAAAATTAGGACTGAGGTTTGATTCCTGGTTTTAGGCTCCCCAGGCTGGCAGAAGCTGGAATTGCTTTAAAGCAACCAATTCCTTCTTTGGCCGCTCACCAGTACTCCTTCTGCTGAGGGATGAGGGGCCGCCAAGGGGGACAGAAGTGAGCCGAGCTCTGCTCGTTGCCCTCACACTGGTGAGCTCCTTAGCGTGTCAGGGGCTGCTCCAGGTAGAGTGGGCACAGCCAGGACCAGAGAGGCCAGCTCCCTGCTCGCCAGGGGCCAGCATCTCCAGTGGATTCAAATGCAAAAGGGCAAATCAAGGGGTTCTGGTCCATCTTGTGTCATTCAAACTGTAGTTTTGAAAAGTTCAATTAGAATGTTTTGCCCGTGATAAGAATCACAAGAGACTCTTCAAGTGCTTTATCCTGGGAGAGTTGAGTGGTGCTGCCCAGCAGCAGCGAGAATGCTTCTCACGTTGCTATTCGGTGGCCCCTGCTCCGTGGGGTCCGGAGCGGTTCACCGCCTGGCTTTTGACTGTTTATAAATTTGGATTACAAATGACTGTGAAATGGATAACAATATGTGAGTATAGGTTTCATGGATCGATTCCCGGCCTGGAGCAGGGAAAATACCAGAGGAGCCTCAGACATCTTATGGGGCCAGAAAATGAAGAGGTGCTTGAAAAAGAAAGGGGTATGACAAGAAGCCACATGACTAACCTGAAGGAGCTTCCAGTGGCCAAAAGTGGAGCAATTTGAGCAACAAAATAAAAAATGAGAATAATGGATTCTAATCCATGGAATAAAAATAAATATCCCTAAGTCCAGATTGATGTAAATAAATAATTGAATAAATAATAAACAACAGAGAAGAGACGGTTCTTCCTTATAGAAGAACCCAGGTTAATGATTGTGGAAGGAATGAGAAAAATACAAAATCATCACTAGGCAAACTTTACAGCAGCAACTGCTGTCAGCAAGAGCCATGGGTGGACACTGCAACCACTGGGCAAGGCTTTGAGGAGAAGCCGGACATTCTCATTGTCGCAGCTGATGGAGAAATCCTGCAAACACCACCTTAACCAAGTGATCCAGGGAAACAGCACCACTCCTAGGACCACGGACATCACATCCCCCAGACACGTGGCAGTGAGGAGGACACATGCCCGTCGGTGGCATTCCTGCCAAACATTCACTAACCTCAGTGCAACCGGAGGAAACATCAGACACACCCAACAGAGAGGCAATCCACAAAGTGAGTGACCAGTACTGCCAAAGTGTCAGGAGCATGAGAGATGGGGCAGCTCTTGGACAAACCGTTAAGAAGACTCTACTGATCTACTCCCCTGTGGAATAAAGTGAAAGGACTTGGGATGAAAACACACTTTTAGCCAGGCATGGAGGCTCACACGTGTAATCCCAGCACTTTGGGAGGCCGAGGCAGGCGGATCATGAGGTCAAGAGATCAAGACCATCCTGGCCAACATGGTGAAACCCCGTCTTTACTAAAAATACAAAAATTAGCTGGGCATGGTAGCATGTGCCTGTAGTCCCAGCTACTCAGGAGGCTGAGGCAGGAGAATTGCTTGAATCCGGGAGGTGGAGGTTGCAGTGAGCCGAGATCGTGCCACTGCACTCCAGCCTCCAGCCTGGTGACAGAGCAAGATTCCATCTAAAAAAAAAAAAAAAAAAAAAAAAAAAAAGACACTTTTAAACCCTGGCAGCACTCAAGCATCATGTGGAAAGCTTGAGAACCATGTAAAATGTGCAATAGCAGTGAGGTCGCTGAAGGGGCCGAGTGAGGTGGAGAGGGAAAAGGCCGCTGAGTCTGGCCAGTGTCGATGGATAGTTAGAGTAGTGCAGACCAACATTTCTTATCTGTATTTAATAGCAGGTTTTTACAAATCAGCCTTATTTGAAAAACTGTCTAAACTCTCTTTTGCCGGATGGGTAGCTTACTTTGTGCACAACACTATTTTAAGTTCTATTAAACATAATTAAGAAATAGAAGAGAAAATAAGAGATTACAGGAGAAATGCACAAATCAAAGATCAAAAAGCATGTCCATCAAAGAAAAGAGAACCCTGGTACACTGTGGGTCAGAAGGTAAATTCGTATAGCCATTATGGAAAACAGTGTGGAAGTTCCTCAGAAGATTAAAAATGGAGCTACTATATAATCCAGCAACCTCACTACTGGGTATATATCCAAAAAATATTGAAATCAATATATTGAAGAGATGTCTGCCCTCCCATGCTCACAATAGCCCAGATCCAAAATCAGTCTTGGTGTCCCATCAGTGGACACACGGATAAAGTGTGGTGGACGTACACCATGGGATAAGATTCAGCCTTAAAGAAGAAAGAAGTCCTGTCATTTGTGACAATGTGGATGAACCTGGAGGACATGATTCTAAGTGAAATAAGCCAGGCACAGAGAGACAAATACCACATGATCTCAGTCACATGTGGAATCTGAAAACGTCCAACTCATAGAAGTAGGTAGCACAATGGTGGGTACCGGGGCAGGGGTGAGGGGCTTAGGGGGATGCTGGTGTAAGGATACAAAATCTTAGTTAGATGGGAGGAATTAGTTCAAGAGGGCCATTGTACAGCATGGTGACTATATTTAATAACAGTGAATTGTATACTTGAAAGTAGCTAGAAGAGTAGATTTTAAGTATTCTCAGTGCACAAAAAAGGCGAGGTTATATATACATGTTTGATGTAGCCTTTCCACAATGTGTGTGTATATATATAAACATATTGTACACCATAAATATATACAATGTTTACTTTTCAATTAAAATAGATAAAAAGGAAGATTTTCTGACCAAAGTGAGTAGCTGATATAATTATATTATGCTGTCTTTAGATGCTAATTACATTACAAAAAAATTTCCATTTGGTTAGGAAATACGTATTTTAAGTGCCCATAGATACTACATGTATTCTGAGCTACAACTTTGCGCAGCCCACTACAGGTGAGTGGGTCAGAGAGGCCCCATCCAGGAAGAGGAAGCTGTGGTTTAATTAGAGCTGGGATGGGGGCTTGCCTGTTTCTGCTAAAGACATAGACTTGAATCATTAGAAAATGGGAATAGGCTGAACGTGAGAGGCAGCAGTGAGGTTTGTTTTCTGTTATTTATCTTTTTTGGGCTGAAGAGGGCAACTAGGCCACCGGGCCCAAGGTTAGGAGAACAACTGGTGTCATGATAAAGATTTTTCAGGGTTTTGGTCAGATAATTGGGGTTGATTAATGTCATGGTGGAGCCTAGAGATTCTGAGAAGGAGGAGAGGAGTTCAGTTAGATACCCAGCGGGTCATAAGCAGTCTGACTGTGTGTGCGGAACACCCCCAAAGCCCACACTGGGGAGGCGACTTGAAGGAGGGGACTGTCACATTGCAGAAGGCCGAGAGGCCCAGAGGCTCAGAAAAGGGATGAGGCCATTGGATTTTTGCCAGGAAAATGTCACTGGTGGTTTTGGTAAAAGTAGTTCCTCCAAGGTAAAGACCGAACTAGAGCTACTCAACTGAAAATTTATTGAGGGGAGGAACCATGCTGTCGTATATCTTTGTATTTCCCAAAAACATCTAGCCCAGAATATCATCTTCAAATTTTTGACATTGGGGTTCTGTGTTTTCCTGCTGAGAGCTTCAACCAAAGCCACATTTCAAGCAATTAAGAAAAAGGCATCTTGGGAGGCCGAGGTGGGCAGATCACGAGGTCAGGAGTTCGAGACCAGCCTGGCCAAAATGGTGAAACCTCATCTCTACTAAAGATACAAAAAATTAGCTGGGCGTGGTCGTGCGTGCCTGTAATCCGAGCTACTTGGGTAGCTGAGGCGGGAGAATCGCTTGAGGTTGCAGTGAGCCGAGACTGTGCCATCGCACTCCAGCCTGGGCAACAGGGCGAGACTCTGTCTCAAAAAAACAAACAAACAACAACAAAAAAGGCATCAATGTGAAAATAAGTAAACAGCATCAAGATGCGTTTAAGGAATACATTTTACAATGCAAAGGAGGAGGATGGAAGACTGGCGTAGAGGGAGGGATTGAAAAAAAGTTAAGGTCAGGAGATATTGTCCTGGGGTTTGACATAAATCAACATGATTCGTCAATCCTGATGTGTGTTTCTGTTCTTAAGAAAATATCTGTATGGTTTTGCTAATAATACATGTGTATCCCCCCAAAAGTATAAAATTCGGGGAAAAAACTGAGACCAGAACAATTTATACCGAGAACGTGTGACCCCACCACCTATGTTGGTAACATGTTGGGGATTTCCCCGAGGCTTGCGGAGTTTTCTCAGAGTTAAGATCCTATCATGCATGCAATTTTGCGTATGCTTTCTTCCCTTAACCTCATATCATAAGCATTTTCCCCAAATTAACCAACATTTTCATATAGTTTTCCTAAGTGTGTAGATGTACCACTGCGTACTTAACTGCTCCCCCGTGTCTAGATACTTAAAATATTTCTAAGTTTTACGGTAACCAATGCTGAGATGGACATCTTTGCAAAAGAGTGGTCCCATCGCTCTCCAGAAGGAAGCACGCGCATTTCAGCTGCACGGTTATTGTCTTGTGTGCTCTCGTTTAAATGGCTGTGAATTTGCTTTTTCTTTTTAGTAATCATTCACTCCTTTATTCATTTATTCGAAAAGATTTTATGTGGAAATCTAACACGTGGGAACACAGTTGTAGCACCGGCAGTCTCAGAGAGCAAGAGAGACGAGGCCCCAGCCCACGTGGCACTCACAGAGACAAACACCGCAGAAGAGAGGCAGAGGTTGGCCAGCACAGGAAGAGAGGCACTGTGGGAGAAGCGAAGGCACCTGAGGTGTGGGAGTGCCTGGGACACCGGGGACCTCCCTGAGATGCAGCCAGGGAGCAGGCAGTCATCCAACAGGGATTATTACTGAGGCTGAAAATGTTTTCAATATTGATCGCACTGGGCTCGTTCCTTAGTGAGACGTGTGTCAGAGGCCGTCCTCACTCCCCAGCAGCTCCTGTTGGCTTCGAGCAATTCT
This sequence comes from Homo sapiens, assembly GCF_000001405.40. Taxonomy (NCBI): domain Eukaryota; kingdom Metazoa; phylum Chordata; class Mammalia; order Primates; family Hominidae; genus Homo; species Homo sapiens. The sequence goes on from NC_000006.12 coordinate 379,033, forward strand.
ACCAACCCGTCCCCCTCCATGTGTTCCTCTCTAAATGGAATCACAGTGCCTGCTTCACCTCCCCACTGGGTTCTGTGAAAAATTAGAGGCTGGTGCAGAGAATCCCACCAAGTCAGCCGCAGACCAGACACGAGGTTGACCCCTCTGCAGCTTGTCACTGCCAGTCTGATGTGACTCCTATGTGGAGTCCTCTGACCTCCTTGAGGGCCTCAGTGTGTAAACAGGTGCCAGGCTGAGCCACCCCCTCGAGGCTCCCTCCTCCTAGCATGTGGCTTAATGTTTCAAAACCAGTTTTGGAGAAGAATCCTCCCTGCAGTGGCTGTGCTCATAGGAAGGGCCCGGCAATCCCGCCCCTCCACCCGCACACCCCCTGCCCTGGTCACCGTGCTCCTCCCAGGGCCGCTCCCCACGTGCGTCTGCCCAACAGGCGTGGACACCTGCGGCACTTCCAGAGCCCGGCAGCCTGGACAGGAAGTTACCTCGCTGTTCCCCCCCAGGGCCACGCCAAAGCTGTGCTGAAGAAAACCTGCCTGCAGGGAAGTGATCAGCGCTACGGTCAGAGGAAACCTGGTTCCTCCTGACCTCCCCTTGGCCCTAACCTGAGACGCCTGGGGCCGGAAATAGAGAAGCCTGCTGTTAACCTCAATGTCCCCGGCATTCTGCACAGGTCACGAGCCCTCTTTTCCCTGTGTGTCTGCCCATGAGTGCCATATTCGCACACCCAGGCCGGGTCCACCTACCTAGCCCGCTTTGGGAGTGAACTTCCAGCTGGTTTTTACGGGACAGTCCTCCAGAACATCCCTCTGGTGCTGCAAAGCCAGTTCTCAGCCAGACTTGCTACCTTCCATCCCAAATGCCACTCCTCGGTCACGGTTTCCTGTCCCCGATGATGGCGCCACGGCCCCTGGTACTCAGCATCTCTGGGGTCCTGCCTCCCGGGGTGTTCAAAGACAGCCCTCCTGGGCAGCACCCTCCCGGATCCCCAGGGCCACCCTGGCCCAGCAGCATCCAGTCCTTCCACTGGGGCTCTCTTGCGCCTCCAGTCCAGCCTGGAACCCCTGGCACAAAATGTCTGATGTGCCTCCTTCAGCCTCCCTTTTCTCCAGCTGTGTGGTTCAAAGACTGCGGTTCTCAGACCCCATAAATGAAAATCTCACAGCTGTCTGATGGAAATGCAGATTCCTGGGTCCATTGGCTGAAGCCAGACAGCTGGTTGGGGCTTGCAAGTGATTCTGACATCCAGTGACGTTGAAGGGCCAGTGACCTGCCCGTGGAGTATGGACTCCTTCGCTGGCGTTGGGGCTCCCTCCCCACGGTCTTCCTGGATGGGCTTCAAACCTCCTTTCTGGCCTCTACGCCCTGGGTCCCGCCCCCAGCCCAGACTACCTGCTGTTCCACTGTCACACGGGAGGAGTTACTGCCAGGCTGGGCTCTCCGCCTAGAATTCCTGCTTCTGTGGATTGAAATCTCATGACTTCAAAGTTCAGGTGAAACGCCACCTTCTTCACGATGCCAGCTGCCTCCTCCCCCTTACCATTTTGTCATCATTGTCTTTCATTCCACCTTCTACTGCCCTGGAGGATGACACTGTCCCCGAGTGAGCTGGCGTGCCCCCAGTGCCAGGCAAGGGACTGTGCATGTCCCCTCACAGTGGCTCCGTGTCCTAGCCATCCTTGTGTCTTCCTCAGTACCTTGGTTCTGTGCCTCACAAAAGCTACTGGGTTGAAAGAAATCACAGAACCTGAGAAGAAACCCATGCTTTGTTCAGACTCAGGATGCGATTCTAGCTTGAAACCATTGCAAGAGGAACTCCACCAATGTCAAGTCCTGCTTTTGTGAGCCCCCTCGCCAGAAGGGAGGGAGCATGTGCAGTAGGAGGTCTCCTCATTTCACAGGCCAGGGCACCACTCCGGAGCAGGGACTCAGAAAAAGGCAGAGGAGTGTTCCCTGGCACATGGGGAGTGCAGCATGAGATACCAGTCAGGAGGGGTGGAGGGAAAGAGGGCGCGTCGCGTCAGCAGGACGGGCAGTGGCCCCGCACCCCGCAGCATGGCTCCCGCTTACATTTCTCTGAGAGGCCTGGTCACACCATAGGTTTCGTGGTCCCTGGAAAAGTAGAGTCCCTCCTGGGGTTGCACAGTGCATGTTGGGACATCTTCCTCCACTACACAAAATGAAAAAGCCAACAGAAATCTCGCTCCGACTGCCACAAGGATGCATCCTCTGTAACTCTCAAGTGTCCTTCTGATGCCAGATGGCTCCGTTTTAACCGGGATATCAAAATGAACACATCCTGGAACTTAACTTTGCAACTGGAACTTGAACTTGATTTTCAAATGGAATTCAGAAGTTTCCATGAAATAGAAAAGGAGGGTGGTTTATAATGCATAAACCAGACTGGTAGAGGAGAAGAATGTATTAGGGGCTTTTTATTACAGACAGTATAAAAAGAAGTCAGGAAAGAGTACAAACTTCACCCCCAAAAGGAAGGTATATAACTTACAAAATAAAAAGTTCACATAAATCACAAATTAGCAACATTTAACATTTTAAGCTTCCCAAAAGTTCTGTGCAGCTCACCCTTGATGAACATACCCAGATGGAACCAGGAAGAATTAATTTGTGAAACTGTGACCATCTCATCAGAGACTGCAGCCACCCATGAGTGTTCAAGTAAAGCAAAATACATCTGCCAAAGAAGTGTAATTAAAATATTCACAGCATAACTCCTGAGATCTTATCTTTGATATAAGTTAGCTCCATTTACACTTAGCAGATAATACCAAATTAAAACAGAGACTGAATTCAGTGAGCAGAGAAAACAGCCTAGCCCATGGATTTGTTCTCAATGCACTGCCTCCTGGCTTTGGTGATTTTGCAAAGAACTGAAAGAAAAAGCACAACATTCAGAATAGAAAGGGAATTTCTGAAGGGAGTTTCATAACTGAAATTTCAGTTTGAACTGGATGAGGGACGCTGTTTAGTTCAGTGACCACTGAGGACCTCCGGCAGGCTTCGGGGTGTACAAAGACAGCCAGGATTCAGCCCGCCTCAGTGGAGGGCCCCACAGCACAAAGGCACCAAGAAGGGATAGCAAGAGGACAGCCAGAGTGCCCACAAGCTCGGCAGGAAGGAGGCTCACATCGCCGCGGAAGTCTCGTGATGGTTCTGGTAGAATCGTCCTCTTGAAACCTTCTGCTGCCATTATTGGGTGCTGTCCAATATGCCTTACGCAAAACACTGACAATAGCATACACCTTTCCAGAATGCCGGCACGCGCTGTGCAATGCCCAAACTGTCCCTGTGAGTTGAATGCCCCTGGCAGGATGCGTGTCCACTCCCGCAGGGCCGTGGGTGCCTCCCTTGTCTCACTCCTCTGCTTCAACCCTTCCCAGAACTCTGAAGGTTTGAGATGAAATGACTGAGCCACACCTAGTGCAGGAATGAGCACCAGGGCCTCTCTGCAACGGCTGCTTAAGGGCCACAGGATAAGCATAGTGTGGCGCCCCCAGTTATTCCCTGTTTCGCTCATTGGACCACCCTGATAGGCTTCAGGGAGGCAGGAACCTCCTCTAAGGCAGCAGGAGAGGGGTGGATGGGGCAGCCAACAGGTGCATCTCATGCCTCCGTGTTCTCCATAGGGAGGGAGGTGGGCTAAGAGGCGAGTGGGGCAGAGGCCTGGGCCAGCGTGAAGTGTCAGGAGTAAGGGGGGAGAAGACTGGAGGGGGCAAATCCAGGAGGCAGCTGAGGCTGCACTGTGCAAATACAAGCCCGGTTACGTCTGTGTAGCTTAGCTTCCCCAGCCCACCTGAGCCAGAGCTGGGTCTGCCCGTGCTCCCGCTTCTATTGACATCCAGCAACTCCAAATGACCTCTCCCATATCAATGGGCTCATCTCCGAAGCCGAATCTTATAGCCTGCTTCTCCTCCCCACCAGGCTATAGTGGGAAATCATTGAGGAAACTATGGTTGAATGCATCGCACGGCCTCTCTGGTGTCTGAGAGAAGCTTCATAGCCAGCAGGCTGCCCCTGGTGGGCAGGTGCCGCATGGAGGTACCACGCCTCCCGTGCAGCGAGTAAGAAGGGCAAGGAGAGCTTGTCAGGGGAGTGGGCCAGGCTATCACATCAGATGGGCCAGGCCTCGCATCGCTCTCTGCATCCTAAGCAACGTCTGGACTTGAGTGCGTGGGTTTGTGGTACTGCAATGCCACAGTACCTTGGGGAGCCCCCAGGCAAGCCAAGAAAGTTCTGGGAGGCCACAGCCCTTCACTCAAGTTCAAAGGTTCAAAGCAGGGATTCTGTGTCACACTTGCGAAGGTGCCCACCCCAACAGAAGCTGTGGCTCTGCAGGACACGTGCGGGGTAGACCTCTAAGGCCTTGTCCCAGTGGAAATGCCCTCCCACTTGGCCTGGGTAGCTGCTCACGCTTCTGAAACGGGAAAAATCAACTGCATTCCTGAATGGGAGCCTCAGAGCATTAGAAAAGATAATGTTCTGATTTTTTAAAGCTAAACGTATATGGAAGGAAGCTGAAAGAGGACTTTTGATGAGTCACCTAATGTTGATGTTGAAATAAACCTAATGACCCTCTGGCTAAAATCTGTTCTCATTTGGGAAGCACCTGAACCCTCATTCTCCCGCCACTGCTCTGACCTCTGGAAAGCAAGGAGCAAAGGCACACTCAGCAGCTCCCGCTCCAAAATGCTCTCCCGAGTCCTCCCAAGCAGCCAGAGGACGACTCCACACCCAGAACCCAGAGTGGCCTGGGAACCAGGCCTCAGGTTCCTGGCCCATTTGTCATCGCCCAGGGTCCTCCTGCCAGGAATCCCCCCACATCCTGCCCTGCCTAGAGAAGCCCAGCTCTTCCATCAAAGTTCTGCTCAAATGTCACTGCATGTTACGTCTTCCTCACACACTCCCACTAGCCTTACTGCATCATGCTTGGTTTGCTGAGCTATGTGTGGGGTCTTTCCTTGCCAACCCTTCTTTCCCTGAGAGGTGCAATGACCTCATATTGAGGCTGTCCACTCCCCCACTCCCGACCCCATCCACCAAGCCTGGGAGGCACTGGCTTAATGCATCATGGTTAAAAGAAATGGATGGTTGAATTGCACAGAGAAGACACTGTGCCCCAGGAGATGTGCCTTGCACAAGATCCCTGCAGCACATGCTGGGAGGCTCTGCCCGGGTAGCACTTAGGAAAGAAGGATGTATGCCCTGGGCTGCTGGGAGCACTGTGGGAACTCTGGGATCCCCCTCCTCCTAAGGGCTGTGCTACCCTGATTTGGAAACAATACAGAGGCTTCTCTCCTGCAAGAAAACATGCCCCCTGCCCACCCAGGATCCACCTGGCTGGGGAATCTGCCTAGCTGGGGACCAGGTGGGCATGCTAAGGAGGAATGGGGCTGTGTCTGAAAGAAAGAGATGCCAGCAGGATCCAGGAGAGCAGTCACGGTCCTGGGGTCTGAGAGTGCTGGGCCAAGGAGGTATGGGGAGCATAGATTCATATAAGAGAGAGTGGTTCAGTCTGTGGCCATGCTCCTGGGACACAGCACTGAGCACCCAGCAAGGCCCCAAGAGATGCTGAAACACACAGCTAGGATGGCTCCCAGGAACGTGAGACAGCATTAACCACAGGAAGCCAGGCAGAAGTGCTGCAGCCAGGGCGTGCTGTGGGAGAAGGGCTGGGAGGATGCAGCTCGCTCGCACACTGCGTCAGAAACCTTCACATAGTGCTTGTCCTCAGTACGAGCCAAGGTGGGGGTGAGGAACGGCCCACTTACCAAAACTCTCAGAGACCCCTTGGGGAATTTGTGCTTCTTGTTTCTGCAAGTTTCCAGGAGACACAGAAAGGGTGCCACTAGACTCTAAGCTGTGGGAGGCCTCTGGGAGGCTCCTTGGGTGGAGCTTAGCAGCAAGAAGGCATGTTGACCTTGGTCATCAGGAGGTGTGGAGCTGCTGCTATACAATGGGGCAGGACCCCGGCAACCCATCCGGGCACCTCTTGGCTCTCCCTGTGTGTACTGATGGAAAATGGTATGTGGAGGTGCAGCACCCCTGGACCAGGAAGGGCACCGTGACCAGTTCAAAGCCCTCAAGGATGAAGGCTTGGGTATGGCCACTGAGCTGTAGTTGAAAGGTGGGAGCATCTAGAAAGGACAGAGCAGGAGGCGCTCACGAGTCTTCACTGGCGTTCCAGCTGCAGGGGCTGAGGCTGGAATCTGTTCCACTAACTTTCCTCTTCTAAGTTTTCTCCAGGATAAAGTTGCTATTTGAATTTCAGATAAACAACAAGTAGTTTCTTTAGTGTAAGTACGTCCCAAATATTGCATGGAATACACCTATACTAAAACAAGTTATTCAATGTTTATCAGAAATGCCAATTTAACTGGGAGTTTTGCATTTTTATTTGCTAAAACTGGCAACCCTCCTCCAGGGATGGAGGCCCACTGGAACCAGGAGGAGCTGCCCTCAGGAGCTATGAGAGGAAATGGATCACAGCAGAACGAGGTGTAGACTTGGGTGGATGTTGCTGTGCACTGCTTGGATTCCCACTTGGGAGTGAGAGGTTCATTCCCTCGGGTACTGAGACTGCTCCTGGGAGGTGGTTCTCAGCAGGCAGCCTTCTGTGGCGATGGCTCCAGCTGGAGAAAACGAACTTCCCAGGTCACGTCTCCTCTAGAGGCAGCTGGCACCCAATGCTAGCTCAGTCAGGGCTGCGGGGGCCCTATCCCTTCACTCCACGCTGGAACAGGCTCGTCCTAGCTCCAGAGCTTTCTGCAGCATTGACTGGAGTCCATTTGGCTTGGCGTTGCATCACGGGCACCTCTCGGCCCAGTTCTGCTCCCTTCCCCTTGACTCCAACCAAGCATGCTCCCTAATCATACATGCTGACCTCCATCTCAGAGTCTGCCACCGTCCCTGTTAAAGGCTGAAGGAGGACTAGGATCACTGTCAACAAAAGCATGACCCAAGAGGCAAGACACAGTCATGTTTATAGCATATTACTATGAGCCACTCACTACTTCTAGATGTCACGGTTCAAAGGTGATTGAAAGAAACTCTGTGTTTCCCAATGCCTGCTGGATAAATAACTCAGCATGGATGGTGAGACAGCATCTCTAACTTCGCCTGTCTCCCCGGTAATCGTGTTCCTCCTCCTCACTTCTTTATCAGGGTTCTTGGTAATAGTAGTCCCCCCTTATTCTCAGGGGATAGATATGTTCCAAAACCCCTAGCAGATGCCTGAAATAGAAGACAGTACTGAGCCCCTTATAGACTATGTTTTTTTCTGTACGTACATAGCTAGGATAAAGTGTAACTTATAAATTAGGCACAGTGAGAGATTAACAACACTAATAATAACACCAAGCAATGATGACCATACGCTGTAATGAAAGCTGTGGATGTTGTTGCTCTCTCCAACATCTCACTGCATGGCACTTGCCCTCTAATGGCCTGATGGCTGCCACATGGCTGATGGGCCAGCAGCATATACAGTGGGGTCTGCTGGACAAAGCAGTGGTTCACATCCCAGAAGGGATGAAGCGGGACCCTGCGCGATGTCACCACCCTGCAAAGAATGGCATGCAACTTCAAACACAAAGTGTTGATTTCTGGAATTTTCCATTTCTTATTTTCAGACTGAGGTTGCCCTCAGGTAACTGAAACTGTGGAAAGGGAAACGGTGGATACAGGGGACTCCTGTGTCATTCCCCATCCTGGAAACCCTCCAGCAACCCCTGACTCCCCGACCGCCCCACCCCCTGCCGAGCACGTCTACTCAGCCCCATAACTGCTTGTCCTTCCCTCCTCTGCCACCCATGCACCTGCCCGTCTGAGAGCTCTCTACCTCACCCCGAGGCCTCCCCGGCCTCCTGGCCATTGTTCTCTCTCGGGCGGTACCCACACTATGGCCAGATAATTCCTCCTTTACTGTAGTTCTTACCTTATTACGGGGGAATATGAGCCAAAGCCATGTAACTCGCTGCCGGGCAGGAACTAACAGAGCCAGCACATGCTTCTCCCGTACCCTTCTCTCCATCAGGTGGCCAGGAATGTTCCGGATCCCCGTGGCTTTGCCATGGATATCTCATTTGAACAAGAAGTAACCCCCCCCCCAGAATCTCAGGGGGTCTCGTTACCACAGCATAACCTAACCTTTCTAGAAAGATACACTCCTCTATCCAGCATGCCTAGAGTCTTATGTGTGACAAGTGACGGTATGCTGTTTCACAAAATTTCGCTGAAAGAGCCGTTGATGAACTTTAGAATAACCCAACATTAGGCGCTGTTACAAATGGGTGGAATTAGACAAAGCCGTTTGCCTTTCACCTCTTGCTTCAGTTTTCAGAAAATTGCCCAAAGGTATTGCAAACCATTTGCGTTTTCATTGGCTTGGTTAAGGAGTTGGCAGTGTCAACTGGCCCTGTGTAAAGCCACGTCACTGTTTCTGTAGAGAGCATGACACGTCAGAGAGGTGGGAAGTGTTGCCAGGACTCTTCTTAGAATGCTGGCAAGAAGAGCAGGCGAAAAGGGAAGAGCTGTTTATAAACAGGGAAAGGAGACATCACCTCGTATCCTTGGCTTCTCATTACGTCATCGATTACAATCACAAGTCTCATTTCCTACAAGCCTGAAAGCGGGTTCTTCTCTGCATGTAGGAAAAAGCCCCGCTTACTAACTCTGCCCTCAAAGAGATCACAAGCTGGTCCTGAACGCCCTGTGCCCTGGGAATGCTTACTGTCGAAGCTCTGCAAATTTTCTCATTGAAGGCACTCAGGGCATTCTGCTAATTAAATTAGGAAAATGTGTACAGCTCTACTTGAAAAAATCCAGGTTTATGCTCTGTATTCTATTACCAAAGAATTTATCACTTTTCAAATAACATTCAATTATTTTAAACTGAGTGTGCAGTGAGAGCATTTATAATATAATCTCATTTCCAGAGTGTTCCATCCCAACTCCTCTCTGGTATAAGTAGCTTAGAAGGTTAGATTTTTTTTTTCCAGAGGATTAAACATTCGAGAAGAGTGGCTAAGAGGCAGCACCAGGTTTCTCTCATTTCCTCAAAGAGAATTTAGCCTTGTGAAGAAGAATAAAGTGAAGGTCAATGGTTAGATCCATGGCTTAAAAATAAAATGCAGCTTTCCTTACTCTGAATTTACCATAACCAAAAAGGCCACGAGGCAGCCATTAATGATCCTAAGTTGCAACAGAAAGAAAAAAACACCTACTTAGGGTTAAACGAGGATTCAGTGGTCACTTGCCGCCGGCCTCCACTTCACAGGGGCGGAGGATGAGGCCAGGGAAGACTTTCTTACCCACACTGACCTGACCAGAGATGAAACTCCCCCTCCTATGACAGCCTGCACTCAGAGGCTGATTCTGAAATAGTCATGCCAAATGCAGCCAATCCCTGTGTACAAGGAGAAAAAATAGTTCCTCAGAGCTGTGTCCTTGGGCCAGCCATCTGGACCTCTCACAATCTCTTTCGTTCTCCCTACACTTGGGCTGAATCCCGCCTTCCTTGCCTGCCAGGTTTGGTTTGGGGGCCAAATGAGTGAAAGTCCGTGAGATACCCCTAAGTATTGAAGTGCGTAGTAAATGATAATAGCCCTGATTTGTTGAACATGATGATGTGCCAGGCATTGCGCAAAGCATCATTTCATCATCACAACAAACACTGCTGGGAGGCAGGGACACCCCCACCCTCCTTGTACACCCAGAAGTAGGACTTTGGTTAAATGGCTCTCCCAAGGCCTCACAGCCTTAAAAACTCAAGCACTTATTTAATCCCCAATGATACTACCTTTTGGCCATGCAATGTGTCATGGCCAGTAATTAGATTTGCAAACACATATAACCAAAGAGGATTAGAAGAGACATATATTCTATATAAATTACATGAAAATAGCACTTTCAGTATTTTCCTGATTTTTTCTGGTAATTAAAAATGATTGCCCTTTATATTTCTTTATGGATACAGTTGCATTGTTTTTAGCCAATTGTAGCCCCCCCCTTTAAAGAGTGAATTAGTGGGAAAATAGTGTTATCCAAGATTTTAAGAATCTAGTGTGTGTGTTTGTGTGTGTAGGATGGGTTTTTCTGAAATATTTTACTTGCATGTGAATGTATAATTTTAAAGATTGGCTTTTAAAATACTGAATTGAGGTAAATTCAGCTTTTCTTGCAGACTCTTTACGATAAATGTGAAATTGAAAATGGAAATGCTCCATTCAGATGGTGTGCCGACTACAACCTCAACATACGGATAATTCACTAAATAAGTAACTTCCTCGTGGAATATCACGGTCAGCCTTTGTTTTGGGTACACATTCAATGAACTGGTTTCCTATTAGTTTCTGCTTGTCAACAAGTTGTGTCATTTACTGATAAATATCCAGCCTTTTACTAAGGAATACCGATTTTCTCAAGTCTCAGTGTGTGGAGGGGGTGGGAGTTTGGTGGGGAAGCTTTTCAATTTGAGAACCTTTGCCGTTTTTTGTTTCAATCGTGACTAAGATATAAAAGTCCTTGGTCACCACTGCCAGCTGCTACCTGTTCACTGCCTCCCTGACGGGTAATGAGGCCATCCGGAGTTTTAGTGATTAAAATGTTTTATTACTTGTATTCACATCATCATTAAGAAAAATAACTTCTAGTGGATCAATATGGCAAATGAGTAAACCAGAAGATGGCGTTGAAGATTAGCAATTACATTTAAAAACAAGGTAGTGGTGTGAAGGCTCAGAGTTTCACACAACGACTGTTGTTCTGAACTAAAAGCAGAGGATGTGGATGAGTGAGGGGAGGGTATGTTGAAAATGACTAAACCCGGTGCAGAGGACACGTATACGAAAGTGCAAAAAGCTCTCATTTGCCATTTTTTGTCCTCAGCAAACTCCTCTCTGGTATGTTTGTGAACGTTTGAGGGAAAGGTAACACTGATTAAAATATAATGCAACAAGAAGGCAACGATCTTTGCTTTGTTCACTGATGTGTTCCAAGTGCCTAGGACGGTTCCTGACAAGTAGCAGGTGCTCAAAATACATTTGTCAAGTGAATAAATCTGTGAAAGGAAAGGAAGAAAAACAGGTTGTGACCAGAACTTTTTGTGAACAAAACCCTGTTGTTTATTACATAGACTTTGGTAATGGAAAACTTACTTGGGTGAAATAAAAAATGGCATCCTGTTAATTTCTGAGAACGTCTGTTGGTTTTAGGAAAAGCATACCTATCCATACCTCACTACCTGTTTTGCTCTAGCCTAAACATAGATTCTTCTTTGGTTAGGAGACATTGACCCAATATATAAGATTAAAACAAAAACTGAGAAATAAGTGAAATCAAAAGCTTTTCAAAAGTTGCAGGTTGACCTACGGTGGTGGTGGTCTAAAATCATATAGAAACCAGAGATCTGATGGTTTACCTGAAAATGCGAAGTAAATGCACATACTCAGCATCTCAGACGATCGAAAGCTCAACGGGTGAAAGCTCAGGGGGTTAATTTTGCGATTAAGGACATCTTGGAAAAGTATGTAAAATCCCTGGTCCACTTAAGTATTATTCCTATTTTGGGCTTTTATTTATTTATTTTGAGATGGAGTCTTGCTCTGTCGCCCACCTCGGCTCACTGCAACTTCAGCCTCCCGGGTTCAAGCGATTCTCGTGGCTCGTCCTCTCAAGTAGCTGGGGCCACGCCCGGCTAATTTTTGTATTTTTAGTAGAGATGGGGTTTCACCGTGTTGGCCAGGCTGGTCTCGAACTCCTGACCTCAGGCGATCCACCGCCTCGGCCTCCCAAAGTGCTGGGATTACAGGCTTGAGCCACAGCGCCTGGCCTATTTTGGGCTTTTATACCCCACTGGTAAACTGCTTTCCTCCAGGTTGAGGTTAAAACGACATCATTTTAAGGTGAACTGAAGTCTGGAAGTGATTAAGCACTTGGATCCTTAGGGAGCCTCTCCCCGCCCCCATCTCTTTCATGCTAAGATAATTAAAACTTCGGGGCCGGGGCATTGTCTGAGTCACTTCAATTCACCAGCCTAATAGATGCAAAAGGATGTAAGCATGTCAGACACGCAGAGACAGTATTTGAATCAAGCTTAATAGCTCAAGGGAGCTGGGCCATTTCCTATTTTCTTTTTAGTGAGTGCGATGTTCTCTAAACACCGCGGAGAGGCAGGGTTCCCGGTGATGGCCTTGCCGAGGGTGCTCCCGCAACCTCCACCTCCAGTTCTCTTTGGACCATTCCTCCGTCTTCCGTTACACGCTCTGCAAAGCGAAGTCCCCTTCGCACCAGATTCCCGCTACTACACGCCCCCCATTTCCCGCCCTGGCCACATCGCTGCAGTTTAGTGATTGACTGGCCTCCTGAGGTCCTGGCGCAAAGGCGAGATTCGCATTTCGCACCTCGCCCTTCGCGGGAAACGGCCCCAGTGACAGTCCCCGAAGCGGCGCGCGCCCGGCTGGAGGTGCGCTCTCCGGGCGCGGCGCGCGGAGGGTCGCCAAGGGCGCGGGAACCCCACCCCGGCCGCGGCAGCCCCCAGCCTTCACGCCGGCCCTGAGGCTCGCCCGCCCGGCCGGCCCCGGCTCTCGGCTTGCAAAGTCCCTCTCCCCAGTCCAACCCCCGGCCCCCACAGGCCTCGGCGCCCCGCCCCGCCCCAGGCCCCGCCCCAGAGAGTTCTATAAAGTTCCTCTTTCCCACCTCGCACTCTCAGTTTCACCGCTCGATCTTGGGACCCACCGCTGCCCTCAGCTCCGAGTCCAGGGCGAGGTAAGGGCTGGAGTCGGGCAGGAGGAGGGGTGTGAGGCTGATACCAGAGAGGACCCGGAGCGCGAACCAGAGGTTCGACCTCCAGGGCAGCGCAGGGTACCCCGGCTTCGGAGCGGGAAGGGAGCGCGCCCCGTCCTGGAGCTCCGACTCCCACCCCATCTGCGCTGAGCCGGAGGCGCTGGTTTGGGCTCCAAGGCCCGCCTCCTTGGCTCTGCCCGAGCCTCCCCGCCTGCCCTCCGCGCTCCTGCGACGGGGTCGCCACAAGCTGGACGGGATGAGCTAACCGGACTGTCGGGGCCCCAGGAGTGGCTGAGGCGGGGCCGTCCAAGGCACCCACACAAGACGGCACAACTGCCTGCGAGAAACAGGCCCGGCCCTGTGGACCCCAATCCGAGGCTCCTTCCCCTGCTCTTCGTTCCTAAGGGGCCCAAGCTCACGGCGGCCTCCGGCGCGGTGCTCACCCGCTGGCGCAGGAGGAGGAGGAGCTCCACATTTGGGTCGCTCCGAGCCTTGCGTGCGGTGGCCTAGCCGGCCTGGCGCGGTCCCTGCCTCCCAGGCTCCGCAGCTGTCGTCGCCCTCTCCCGCGCCCTCCCCGCCTCCGCTCTCCCGGGCCTGCTCCGGGGTCCGGCGGACGCTCTGCGCGCGGAATCCCCCGTACTGGGGCTGCAGCCCCCGCGTCTGCGCCACTTGTCGTTTGCAGAGCCCACTTAGTGCGCGCTAGCTGGGCAGGGATAGGGGTCCTATTCGGGGCGAAGGGTCTGGATGCGAGCAGAGAAAGCGGAGGGTGGAGGAACCCGGGGCTGCGCCCCTGGAACGCCCGGCCGCAGGCGAGGTCCTCCGCGCGTGGAGGCCGCCAGGGGAGTGGAAACTGACAGAGTCGCGGGGAAGGGGCGAGAAGCGGGTTGGGAGTGAGCGAAGGCAAGCGAGAGCTGCGAGTGAGTGCGGAAGGAGGGCCAGGAGGGGTGGCGGCTGGGTGGGGAGAGAGGGTGCAAGACGAGCGGCGCGTGTCGGGAGCCTTTGGGCTGCGGGTGCGTTACAGGAGAGCAGGCGGGTAGGAGCCTTCGCGGGGGCCGAGCTCGGAAGGCGGACGGCTGTGCCCGCCCAGGGGATGCGCCCGGGCCGGCCGCGAAGGTGCCTTCTTCCGGGGGCCCGGACGACCCTGACACGGCACGCGCGCGCTTCGCAGCCTCAAAGACTCCGGGGCCTCGTGGTCACTGGCGCAGGGGATCGGGGCGGGGTGCCCGGAGTGCGGTGCCTCGTGGCTGAAGGGCAGCTCTTCTCCCCGCAGTGCAGAGCAGAGCGGGCGGAGGACCCCGGGCGCGGGCGCGGACGGCACGCGGGGCATGAACCTGGAGGGCGGCGGCCGAGGCGGAGAGTTCGGCATGAGCGCGGTGAGCTGCGGCAACGGGAAGCTCCGCCAGTGGCTGATCGACCAGATCGACAGCGGCAAGTACCCCGGGCTGGTGTGGGAGAACGAGGAGAAGAGCATCTTCCGCATCCCCTGGAAGCACGCGGGCAAGCAGGACTACAACCGCGAGGAGGACGCCGCGCTCTTCAAGGTCTCCGGCCTCGGGAGCCGGCGGGGGCGCGCCGGGGAGGGCCCAGAGACAGAGCCCGGGGTCCCCGGCGCCGCCTCCGAGGCGAGCCCAGGGGACCGCGCGGGGCGGACGGGCGGGCGGCGGAGGCATCAGGTGGCGTCGCCGGAGCCGCAGGAGGAGGAAAGGAGGCCTCGGCTCTCAGCGGGACCGCGGGGGCCGGGAGCCGGGTCCTGGGCGCGTGGAGGCTGCAGGGAAACCGCTGAAGGCCCGGCCGGGCCCGGGGAAGGGCGGCCAAAGGCTTGAGGGGTTTTGCGCGTTCGTCCGTGCGTTCTCGTTTCCACGCAAGCCTCCCGCCCTTCCTCCGGGCTCCCGTCTGCCGCCTCCGTCCGTGGGTCCCCCTCGCCCTCTCCGTGCGTCCGCGCCTGTGCCGGCGGCTGTTTTCGTCTCTCACCGCGTCTCTGTTTCTCTTTTCGCTGCTTTTCTCTCTGAGTCTCTCTCTCTCCATGTTTTTCCTGAGGTCAGCCTCTCTTCTCGCTCCTGCTAGCTCTCTGCGGGTACTCCCACCTCTGTCTTTCTCTTTGTGTGTCTCTGTCTCTCTCTTTCCCCCATCGCAGTGGAACTCAGGGCCTCTGTCTAGAGCTGTCTCCCTTGCCCTTTGCGCGAGTGCACACACGTGTGTCGTTGTTACGATTGTTCTCCCCTAAGGCAGTTTACCCAGAGAACTACGTGTCTGGGCCCAGCCCCCACCTGTGGGCAGAGCAGGGGAAGGGGACTTCCTCCGGGAATTTGGTCTCAATTTGCTCTCAGAGTGCCTCAGCTGTGCTGCCATCCAGATGTCTCCTGTGGGTGACAGCTCACACCACAGCTGTCCTTAGTCCTAGGCAAGCTCACTCAGACACTGGGTGGGTAGAGCCCCCTCAAGGAACCTCCGCATCTCACTCTACCGGTTATAAATACCCAGAAAATGTGTCTTCAACTTGGCAGTGATAGGGTCCAAGATGGAAAATCATTTTCCTAGAGCATAGCTGGGGTCTTTCAGTTTACGTTCTGAGCAACGGTGTAAATCTGAAGGACCTATGCGCCATTCTTTCTTTTAGAAATACAATTTCAAGATTCCTTATAAAATATCTGTATTTTGGGTTTAGCATGGTGGCTCACACCTGTAATCCCAGCACTTTGGGAAGATGAGGTGGAAGGATGCCTATGCAACATAGTGAGACCCTGCCTCTGCAAAAAATAATAATTAAAAAAATTAGCCAGGCATGGTGGTGAACACCTGTAGGCCGAGGGCCCAGCTACTCTAGAGGCTGAGATAGGAGGACCCTAGAACTCAGGAGTTCGATGCTGCGGTGAGCTATCATCGTGCCACTGTACTCTAGCCTGGGCAGCAGAGCAGGACTCTGATTCCAAAAAGAAAGCTAATAAACCAGACATGTATTTTGACTTTTCGTTCTCTTCATTCTTTCCCACCAGGCTTGGGCACTGTTTAAAGGAAAGTTCCGAGAAGGCATCGACAAGCCGGACCCTCCCACCTGGAAGACGCGCCTGCGGTGCGCTTTGAACAAGAGCAATGACTTTGAGGAACTGGTTGAGCGGAGCCAGCTGGACATCTCAGACCCGTACAAAGTGTACAGGATTGTTCCTGAGGGAGCCAAAAAAGGTAGGGGCTCTCCTGAATTTGGGTCACCTAACAGAGGCAGCCAGATCCTTGAGGCACCTTAACTTCATTCTGAGCATCACTTTCTAGCTTTCCTTTTGTATTGCCTGCCTGCCTGCCTTCTGCCTCACAGTGAAGCCCAGCCTCCTTGCCTGAGTTATGTGGGTCACAAGTTGAAATTCCTGTGGGGTTCAGCATAGGAGAATTAATCACACTGTATGCCTCAATGTATATGGGGGGGGGTGCATTGAATATGTGTTTTCCAGTTAGTCTTTCAAAAAAAAAAAGAAAAAAGAAAACTGGATAACTTGTTAAAATTTACTTATCTAATAGTCTTTAGTGAGTGACTATTTTGCAGAAAAGGAGTAATGAGAGGAATATCTCATCACTATGCATGGTAATAAAACTGTCAACTTTTAAAGTGTAACATGGTCAGCTGAGGTGTTTATTAAAAGTCAGATTCCTGGACCCCTCTTTTCAAGATTCTGACCAGTGTGTCTGGAAGAGAGCTCAGGAATCTGCATCTGGAACAAATCCTTCAGGTGACCTCACTTGGGAAACATCTGGCTGGCGGGGTCCTTTATGTCACAAGGCACATTCGCATGCCATCTGTCATGTATTTCTTTACCTGTCCTGTACAACTCAGACCTTGTAGAAAAAAATCAGTTTAATAGCATGAAAAAATAACTTCCCAAGGGAGTTGCTGAAAAATACCTTATTTGTCAACACCGTGTTATGCATTCTAAGAATTAAATGCTCAGGTATTTTTACAAGATTTGACATTTAGTTAGGTCAGTTCCTGTTTTTACGTTGTGCCATTTCCCTTTTCCCCAAACATGTAGGAGCCAAGCAGCTCACCCTGGAGGACCCGCAGATGTCCATGAGCCACCCCTACACCATGACAACGCCTTACCCTTCGCTCCCAGCCCAGGTATGGTGGAGGGCACTGGGCTCCCTGAGGGCGAGGCTGTGTGGGCCAGCTGCCCACATGGCCAGAGAACCACAGCAGCCCAGACAGCAGAACTTGCCATTTGCTATGGCTGCTCCAACAGCCCAGAAAAACCCCAGGTCACTGAACGAATGTCTCACTTTCCACACGGTGCTGCCATTGGTGTGGATTTTAAGTTGGGGAGGGTCGGGCGTGTCCGCCTGTTGGAATATGCTTCTCAGGTCTTCTGGGAAACAGATGTTTTGTGGAAGTGGAAGATTTTGGAAGTAGTGCCTTATCATGTGAAACCACAGGGCAGCTGATCTCTTCAGGCTTTCTTGATGTGAATGACAGCTTTGTTTCATCCACTTTGGTGGGTAAAAGAAGGCAAATTCCCCTGTGGTACTTTTGGTGCCAGGTTTAGCCATATGACGAAGCTTTACATAAAACAGTACAAGTATCTCCATTGTCCTTTATGATCCTCCATGAGTGTTTTCACTTAGTCTGATGAAGGGTTCACTCCAGTCTTTTCGGATGATAAAATGCTTCGGCTGTCAGTCTAATAAGGGATTCCCTGAGGAGTTTGGAGGCTGTAAGAGCACCCCCCGTCTCAATGCCAGTGCTTCTTATCTCAGCCTCTCCTGCACTCCTTTACCCCCGTCTCGATGCCAGTGCTTCCTATCTCAGCCTCTCCTGCACTCCTTTACCCCCGTCTCGATGCCAGTGCTTCCTATCTCAGCCTCTCCTGCACTCCTTTACCCCCGTCTCGATGCCAGTGCTTCTTATCTCAGCCTCTCCTGCACTCCTTTACCCCCGTCTCAATGCCAGTGCTTCCTATCTCAGCCTCTCCTGCACTCCTTTAACCCCGTCTCGATGCCAGTGCTTCTTATCTCAGCCTCTCCTGCACTCCTTTACCCCCGTCTCAATGCCAGTGCTTCCTATCTCAGCCTCTCCTGCACTCCTTTACCCCCGTCTCAATGCCAGTGCTTCCTATCTCAGCCTCTCCTGCACTCCTTTACCCCCGTCTCGATGCCAGTGCTTCTTATCTCAGCCTCTCCTGCACTCCTTTACCCCCGTCTCGATGCCAGTGCTTCCTATCTCAGCCTCTCCTGCACTCCTTTACCCCCGTCTCAATGCCAGTGCTTCTTATCTCAGCCTCTCCTGCACTCCTTTAGCAGGTTCACAACTACATGATGCCACCCCTCGACCGAAGCTGGAGGGACTACGTCCCGGATCAGCCACACCCGGAAATCCCGTACCAATGTCCCATGACGTTTGGACCCCGCGGCCACCACTGGCAAGGCCCAGCTTGTGAAAATGGTAAGGAGGATACCAGTGCAGGAAATAGAAGAGCTAATTGCTAATGTGGCCATGGGCCATGGCGAATCCTGGTCTGTCCTGGGCAGCACCAAAGCTCTTTCCCCTTCTTAGAGGCTGCGTGTGCAGCTCGGGGAGAGGGGGGTTTTCTCACTCCTGTGGGATGGTGGCATCCCACAGCCAAGTTTACTCTCAGGATCCATGCTAGGCACTGCCCTTCGTGGGATCTTATTTAAACACCACAGAGATCACTCCAGGCAGTGGAAAACAGCCCCCCACTTTTTATATAGAGAGGAGATTGTGGAAGCTCATAAATAATAAGTAGGGATGCTGGGAGATTATTGAGCTGGTATATTTCTCTCGAATAGTGGTGTGTTCATTGTTGCTATTGTTGGAATTAGAGGTGATACTAAAAAAGGAACGGAAAAATACCATGGCAAACACATAAAACGTCTCTACAGGTGCCTACCTACCACTGGGTCCCAGAAAGACTTGCTGATTGTGGATTAGATGTGGTCCCCTGCCCTCGGGAGTTCCCCAGACATCAAAATGAGCTCCCTCAGCAGAAGCTCTCATTAGCTGGGTGCAGGGAGAATCTAGCAATGCGGTAACTCAGGCCTTCAGGACTTTTGAGTTAGTTACTTAAATGGAAGTCCTGAGACAGGTCAACACACTGAACCCTTTGGATGTTTTAGGAATATTTGTTCCTTTGCAATTTGGCCTTTTTTTCCCCAGTCATGTTCAGGTTATCCTTGGCTGCAGGTAGTGAAGAGGTGTACCACTCTTTAATGTTTGTACTGAGTGGCATGTTCACAAAAAAGCTCAGAATTCAGTTGCATTGGCTTTTCAAGAGGGATTTGCAGCAAGGGCTGGTTTCCAATATGGTAGTGGAGGAATTGGCTAACATAAAACTAGCTCCTGAAATTCAGACTTGCGTTTACTGCTCTGGCTCTATGGAATTAGTAACCATGGGAAAGAGGCAATGCTTAGAACTGTGTAAAGTGATGGAGTAGGTAGAGACCTGTCTTGAAGCATCGGTAACAGTAAATGAAGCAGCAGCAAGATCAGGTGTTCTGTGCCACATTCTTTTTCCATTCATGTTTCATACAACATTGTCTTCAGGAACATGGTTCAGTGTTCTCCCAACCCACAAGAGACAAGCAAAATAAAAATGGACTAAATAATTTGCTAGTTTTTAATTGGGCTCTTTGGCACAGACTCAAGTAGACCTGAACTCTCAGCTCTGTTGTGAACCCGCTTTGTGAACAAGGACAAAGCATGTCATCTGTCTCTGAGCCTCAGTCTCCCTGTTAGTCAGTTACAGAGAGAGCGCTCCAAGTTTCCTTCCAAAGCTGTGCACTGGCTCGTTTCTCCATCAGCTTTGGTTTTCCAGTTGGTCTCCAGCTCATCTTTGCCTCACAAGAGCGTGCCCTGCTAGTTGCTGGTGCTGGGAGTGGGTGGGAAGGTGATTGGGCGCCAGCCCCTTCCTTCCCAGGCTTCACACACACACCCCAGGAAGCCCCGCGGTGCGTCGGACTCTCTGTCTAGACATCATCTGATTTTTATTTGCAAATGCAGGTTGCCAGGTGACAGGAACCTTTTATGCTTGTGCCCCACCTGAGTCCCAGGCTCCCGGAGTCCCCACAGAGCCAAGCATAAGGTCTGCCGAAGCCTTGGCGTTCTCAGGTGAGTGCAGGGTTTGCTCCTGGAGGCACCGCAGGAGGCCAGCCTCTGCTGCCAGCTCTGTCATCTTTGGGCAGATTCGATGGGACTTTAGACACTTGCTTTGCTCCCTCTGGGGTCTGGAGTAGATGTAGACACATCCTGTGTGTGAGGTGACCAGGGTGATTTAGGAGCACCATTAGAAAACCTGACATCACTGCTTGTGGTTCTGCTGACCGTTTCAGCCACTGGCTTGAATGGAGTCATTTTGGCTTCTTCACTGGCACCTCTCTGAATTTCTAGGAATGTGCCTTTACCTTTACCGAGGGCCCCTCTTCAGCCAACATTCTCACGATGTGGAATAATTGCTTGGAAGTGTAGAAGGGCTTCTCATTTTGAGAAGCTGATCATCCTTCCAGGTTGAGCCACAAATAAGTCCTCCTCCTCTACTCCCTGGGGACATTAGTTCTGGTCCCTCATCTCTAAAACATTGATGTGCCTAAGAGTAATACACATTTTGGTCTTCCTCTGAACTTTAATATAGCTTGCAAACAAATATGGATTCAATCTGATTTTTAAAGTTTTATTTCTAAAAAAAAAAAAAAAATCCCTGCACCATGGAGATCTTACCTACTATAAAGAAGGCACCTCTAGGCTTGGCAAGCACACGTGCTATATGTATATTTATTTTTCAGATAATATTTTGGATTGTTTTTAAATGGGATTTGTTTTTATATTAAAACCAAATAGCTTAAGGTTTGGAATTCTCATCTTGCCCTCTGGCATCTTTAAAAATCAGTGATGAAAAATACTAACTAAATTCTGAAGGTTTCAGGGAGGCGAGAGTTGTGGCACTTTTGCTGCTCAGAGGGGAGCTGGAGTTTGACCTACCAGCTCTTTCTAGTTGTGAATGAGGCTTGCACCTTTTTTTCTGAGGTGCTCGTGAGTAACTGAGGATGCCCTTTGGGAGGAGGTGCTTCTGAGCAGGAAGGCTTGTGTTTGTTTTTAGAAACTTTCAAACCCTTGTCTTGAACACCTAAGACTTGTGTGGGTGCCTGAAGAGTAGGAAATAAACAGCTATTTATATCTCGGCAACCTCGTGATTTCTGATGACATTAAATGAAATGAAACCTGCCCCGAGAATCACCTCGAATGGCCAACACCCACTCTCTTTGGGGCGCACTGTCTGACTCGCTTTCAGACAGTGTGTTGAAGCAGAGAATTGAGACAGTGATGTGGGTTAAGTCTCAAAACCTGCTGTTGAGGAATAAGATAGTTTTGTGGGTTTCTTTTTTTGGTATGCATGATACAGATTAATTATCAGCCATGAGCACATTTATTAGATAACTGTGATTCCCATTGATTTTGGGGTTCCATACAGTTACCAGTGGCAGCTGCCTCCTGTCTGTGCCACTCCCCTGCGGTCTGGCTGAGGAGCTTGTGCAAACCCAGCTTGGTTCTTTCAACTCATGGGCGATATTTTAAAGAGGCTTCTGAAATCAGCAAAACGTTTGTAAATGGATTCATCTTGTTTAAAGTTTCAGAGAGCGCAGTTTTAGAGTTCTTTTCAAACTTAAACACAAAGCCCAGTGGGAATTTCAGCAGACTTTACATGAACTTTTAGAGTATTTTTCTCATTAATTTCTTTCTTTTCACAAGAATTAATTTTGTGATAAAAACACCACATATCCAGTGTGGAAAACTAATTTAAAAATCAGAAAAACAAAAATGGAAAATAAAAATATCACATTCTACCACCCAGAAATCACCATTAAGGCCTCAGTGCTTACCCTTTAATGTGTGTATGTGAGTGTGTTTATATATAAATTATATAGACATAAATAATTAAGCACCTAATTCTATATATAATTTATATATGTACACACACACACACACACACACACATTTGCTTTTTACCTAAATGATGTCATGTTATTATTTTGGGGACGTTTCAGGTATGTGGACCGACTTGCTTCTTTCTGAAACACCGTTATATTTTTTGCTAGTATAAATTAAACTTAGGGTTCATTTCCTCCAAAGTAAAAATTGATTTGCTTAAAGATGAATTTTCATTCAGTGACACATGACTTAAATGACATCACCACTATCATCATCATAATTCACAAATAAGACTTAGCAAGTTCTTAATAGTGATGCTCTATAATAGGAATTCAACTTACATTTCCAGAAAATTAATGAAAGATACACTTGTTCCTTAAAAAAAGAGTCGGTGGCCACATACGTTTGTAATATGCTGGTTTAGACAGATTAAATGGGTTTCTTTCCACGGGACTTCTCCAAGTGTTGACCGAGCTCATGCTGTCTGTGGATCTCTGGGGGAGACAAGGGCACGCTGTGTTTCCCAGGCCTCCTTGACGCGGGAACCTTTTGTTCCCCCACGGGACATGTGGGACACTAGAGTTCCACCACAGGTGCTTGGCTCTGTGGAGTCGTTGGCCTCGAGGTGGTGTCCTTGGCCCCCAGCACTGACTCCGGAGCTCTGTGTTTGCAGACTGCCGGCTGCACATCTGCCTGTACTACCGGGAAATCCTCGTGAAGGAGCTGACCACGTCCAGCCCCGAGGGCTGCCGGATCTCCCATGGACATACGTATGACGCCAGCAACCTGGACCAGGTCCTGTTCCCCTACCCAGAGGACAATGGCCAGAGGAAAAACATTGAGAAGCTGCTGAGCCACCTGGAGAGGGGCGTGGTCCTCTGGATGGCCCCCGACGGGCTCTATGCGAAAAGACTGTGCCAGAGCAGGATCTACTGGGACGGGCCCCTGGCGCTGTGCAACGACCGGCCCAACAAACTGGAGAGAGACCAGACCTGCAAGCTCTTTGACACACAGCAGTTCTTGTCAGGTAAGGCACCTCGTTATCTGTTAGAATGGAGGTGGTGATGGCCTGCCTGCCACAGGGGTCAGAAACCACAGGGTCCCTCCCACCCCAGGCTGAGGTCTTCCTCCTGTTGACTTCGGCGCCCACTGGGCTTGGGGCTTGACTCCAGTAGAGATCTTCTGTCTGGCTCTGTTGTGGGCAGAGAGTCCGGATCAGATGGTCCAGGTGGACCATGGCTCAGGCTGTTCTCTTGCAATTCTGGTTTTCAGCAGTCGCCTCTTAAAACAGTTCCATTTCATTGCACTATGATCTCGACAAATACGTCTGCTGATGTGGCGGCTCTTTTCAGGTTCCCAGAAAAATCATAAAGGTTGGAAGCATATTGTTAACATTCTTGGTTGTCAGGTGTGTCACCCTCATGCAGATGCTGGCCCACGAGTGAGACGGAGGGTGGAGTGGACTGTACTGGTTTTGCACAGGAGAAGTTATAGGAGAGTGCTATAAGTTGGCTCTGTGATATGAACATTTCTAAGCATATTTTTCAGAACCAGTGAGTTTTGTTTTTCTACCTTGGATTTCATGACAATTCAGCGAACCTCTGGCTGGCTTCTGTGAAGCCCCTCGCCCTGTCATGCTGGGCTTCCTCACTGGCTTTGTGGGGCTGTCCAGGTGGAGGGAGCCTCCCGCGTGGGAGGGAGCTGCTCTACCCGCCACTCGCCACCCCACCGCCAACTCTTCCTCTGCCTTTTCCCAGTCCTGTCCCTTCCTGAGCCCCTTCAGAAACTCCTGTGTCTTTGATTTCTCATGTGCCTCCCCTTTTCTTGAATGTGCTTCTTCATTCAACTTATTTAAAATAAAAATATGACACGTCTGTGTGCTCTGGCACTGTTGACATGTGCTCGTACTTCTGGGTGTAAGTGACCCAAGTTTTTGTAAGCTCATCCAGATTTTCTTTTGGTGCCCAAAGCAAATATGTCCCCAGATAACTAAGCTTCAGGCCAGGTGTGGTGGCCCATGCCTGTAATCCCAGCACTTTAGGAGGCTGAGGTGGGCAGATCACTTGAGGCCAGGAGTTCAAGACCAGCCTGGCCAACATGGCAAAACCCCGTCTCTACTAAAGATACAAAAATTAGCTGGGCGTGATGGTGGGCGCCTGTAATCCCAGCTACTCAGGAGGATGAGGCACAAGAATCGCTTGAACCTGTGGGAGGCGGAGGTTGCAGTGAGCTGAGATCGCACCACGGTGCTGCAGTTTGCAGGACAGAGCGAGACTCCATTGCCCCCCGCACCACAAAAAAATAACTAAGCTCACACAGAGGCTGACCATAGGAAGAGGGAGAACTGTGCTGGTTCCCCGAGGCGGCGGCAAGTGAGGAAGTCACCTGGGGCTGGACACCTCTCATTCTAAGGGCAGAACCATCCCCAAGCCCTGGCCAGGGCGGTCCCATCCTTCTTGGGGTTGGGCATGGTGTTCATGGGGGACCAAGGAAATTGAAGGGCAACTGGGGGGACCCCCCCTCCCCTGTCAGCATCTCCTGTGTCTGCCTTGGGATCTGGAAGAGCTCACATGGGCCAGGAAGGCTAAGGCCCACTGGGCCTGGATTTCTGAAGACTCTGGACCTTGGTGCCAGTGGATTCAGAAGATACCACAAGGTGAGGGCTTTCTAATGAAAGTGTCACAAGGAACTGGCACTGGCTTTTCTGAGTGCCTCTTGCTGGGCGTTTTTAGGGAGGTAGAGCCCCCGTGGTGACTAAGCTGGAAGGTGCACATTGAGTCACAGGTGCACTGCGTGAGAGACAGCACAGGCAGGGGGTGGACGCCTGTGAGTGTCCTGGGGCTGTAGACTTGCGCGACTAGAACTTACTATTAATCTGTGAGCAAGAGCTGGTCTTGGCTTTCATTCCTTCCTCTGTAACCAAGGGCTGTGCTCTTTGCCCACTGCAGCCTCTCACCTCAAAGTGTTCACTGAGGTTCAAGGAGGATGCTGTGAACGTAAAAACTGCAGCTGTGCCAACCAGCTTCTGCATAATTAAGGATTCCCACCAAACACTCTCATGTTATCTAGGGTTGGAGCCATGCTTTCTCAGAGAATTGTGCCAACTCGCCATTCTGATTAGCCTGTGTAGGTGTAGTCTCAGATCACGGCAGTGTGAATGTATTTTACAGATTCTGACTAAGTCATTTGGGTTTGATTTGAATTCTGGAAAAAAAAAAAAGCAGGAAGTCAAATAGTCCTGTAAGTTAGCTAGAAACTTCTGTTCAGTTGAAGAGAACAGTGGAGATCTTTGATATCTTCCTATTCAGGTCTGCACAGCACTAGGGACAGCCCCCAGGGCCCGGCCCGAGGGTGTGTATCTGATAAGGACGCGTCTGTTCTGCAGAAGCTGTAGCGGCTCCTGTGTCAACTCGTTTCTTTTGCGGGCGTGACATTTTATTGTAGCTACAGGCAGAAGATTTGTCTTGTGTACAGGGGAGGGAGCATGGGCTAAAGTCAGGGGATGGGCACTTGTCTTTCCAACAATGTTCCAGTCCGTTTTGTATCTTTTGGGTAGGTGTGGTGGCTTCAGGATGTACATGTGTATATCCACAAGCGGGAGGCCAGGGGGGCTGCCCCACTCCTGTTCTCAAGTCAAGTTACTGTTCCATCCCTGGAGACAGGCAAGAAGTCTACTCAGAGTTACACAGTTCAGGCATAGTGACAGTGGGACTCAGCTGCCGATGGCTGGTGCTCAGTCACCACGTTGACGTTACATATTTTCTGTGGTGCCTGAGTTACGTGGATGTCCGCAGTAGCACAGATACTGGATTATGTGGGCTCTGTAGTGAGGGGATGAGGTTTTAAAATGATCCTGGGATGTCGAAACATTCTGATTTTTTAAATGAAAACTTGTCCATGGCATAAATTGGTCTTTTGCCATTGCGTGACTACGTTTCTTGTTCTTTATCTCCCGACTTCACTGTGGTCTACTACCTTTTGAATCTTCGTGGGTCCAATGCTGCAAAGCAGTGTTCTTTAGCTGTCGACTAGTTCCTCTTGAAGAATCGAGGGAGACCGAGGGCCCTGGGGGGAAAGCACCCAAAGGAATGCATACATGCTATTTTGTATCTGAGATGTTCACATCAAGAGCCCCACTCAGCGGAGTAAGAGTGCTCATTCCTCTTGCAGTGTTCAGAATCACAGTAAGCTCTTGCTTCCTGTTTAACCTGGTGTGTTCGGTGATGAGGGTTTCTGAACATGGTCTCTTTCTTGTGGGCTTCTACAGAGCTGCAAGCGTTTGCTCACCACGGCCGCTCCCTGCCAAGATTCCAGGTGACTCTATGCTTTGGAGAGGAGTTTCCAGACCCTCAGAGGCAAAGAAAGCTCATCACAGCTCACGTGAGTCCTCAGTTACACTCCTACCATAGTGGCTTCCTGTTCTTTGTAAAGGCCAGAGTTTCATTTAGAAAAGTCCCAAATGAAAAGTAAATGTCAAATGACCTGGAAAAATAAGCGTAACCCTTAAACTAGTGAGGGAGGAAGCATGGTCCAACGAGCAGCACAGTCTGAGGACTCACGTGCTCCTCCCAGACTTGAGATCTGCTCATCAAAGAACCAGGGAGGACAGCCTCAAAGGAGGGTGCCTCTTTCCCCATCTTTTTTATTTTTCAGGAAAGTTGTCGTATTTCCATTTTATAGGGATTGAAAAAGATTGATGGTTAAAGTTGCCCTTTAAAATTCTCCAGGTTAAGATTGCTGTAAGAATGCTATCTAGCTAGTGGATCTTCATTCAATGGAAAAGCTTTTCCCAAATGAGAAACTATCCATTCCCTGGAGGCATTTTGTAGGTCTCTGCAGCTGTGTCCTAGCACCTCTTTTATTTCTGGAATTTTAGAAATTATTTAATTATTGGGCATATGATATTTGAAAGAGGCTGAATCTTTCAAGGAATTCAAGCAAATCAGACCCTCTCGTAATGTTCTCTAGCATAGCTCAAGATGGGTTCAACTGTGGCAAGTAACACTAAAAGGGTAGGGTTAGGATTAGGGTTAGAGTTTTCTTTTTTATGAGAAAAGGTTTCCATAGATAACATGAAGCATTAATTTGCCATGGGAAACAGAATCTTGAACCCTTAAGACTTTTGAATTTGAAAACTTCACATTGCTACATACTTGCAAGCATTATTAACGGGCTTGCATGCTGAGCAATACCAGGTAAAAGTTACACCCCCTAACATCAAAGTTCTCATCATGTTCTAGCTCTGATGCTATTTCTCATTGAGAACTGAAATGAAACATGGTTTAATCTTGAACATACAACCCCCCTTCTTGATTTTAAAAACAAAGACCAGCCAACCAACCAGTATATAATCCCATAGACTCAGGAGTTTTCTCATGAGTTCTCTCCAGTGATTGACTTAATAATTGATATGATTGTTGAAATAATAACTGATACATTGTTAACAACAGGAATTGCTAAATGACTAAATAAACTTGGCATTGATAAGCAGCATTTAAGAAGTTGATGATCGGCCGGGCACAGTGGCTCACGCCTGTAATCCCGGCACTTTGGGAGGCTGAGGCGGGCAGATCATGTGGTCAGGAGTTCGAGACCAGCCTGACCAACATGGTGAAACCCCCTCTCTACTAAAAATACAAAAATTAGCCGG
The DNA here is from genome assembly GCF_000001405.40 of Homo sapiens. Taxonomy (NCBI): domain Eukaryota; kingdom Metazoa; phylum Chordata; class Mammalia; order Primates; family Hominidae; genus Homo; species Homo sapiens. The sequence continues at coordinate 406,401 of NC_000006.12, forward strand.
GCGTGGTGGTGCGCACCTGTAATCCCAGCTACTCGGGAGGCTGAAGCAAGGGAGTCACTTGAACCCAGGAGTCAGAGCTTGCAGTGAGCCGAGATTGCACCACTGCACTCCAGCCTGGGTGACAGAGTGAGACTCTGTCTCAAAAAAAAAACAAAAAAAGAAGTTGATGATCAGCTCAGCTATCACATCAATCCAGTTTTAAAGTTGACATGGATGCAAGTCACTGTCCTCTAAGTCAGGGAAAGATGGATCCCCAGATGACCCCCTCATGCTGAAGACGAGGCTGCGTGGTCCATAAAATGAATAAACACACGTGTACACCTATGAGTTCCACTTTTAAAAATTATTAATTTAATTCATTTCAGGTACTTAGGAGTTTAGCTTAAGTCGTCATATATAAAATACAGTCTCTAATATCATGATTGATGGAGAGCATTCAGCTTGCCTTAGATGCTGTAAATTCAGGAAAAGCTGAACATTAAGGCGTTTTTGTTTTTTGGTGAGTGTGATCCACGCTAATAACCAGACAGTATAAATTTGAGGCCAGTTAGCTTCTCTTTTTCCACAATAGTAGTTTTGTTGTTGTTTAACTTTACTTTTTATTTCTTTTACCTCTGGTTGAGAACTATACAGATTACCTAGAAATCAAATCATTCAGGATGAGCTCCTTGTTTCTTTCAAACTGCAGTTGTGGAAAAACAAAATCATTGGCCTAAATTACCCTGCAGATTCCCTCAGACTTCCTTTTAATTTGATCACTTTACTTGATTTGATGCAGTTTTAGTTAAATGTACATTTTAAGTGGCAGTCGATTTGAAAGTAACATCTTTAACCCAGAATTAAGTCACTTTGGCTGTTTTTTTACATGTTGATCTATGGAAGGACTAACCAAAAAATTGCTTCTTTAGATGGCTCCAAATATGAAATGTTTTGATGTGTTCTAGGATGTAACTTTGGGCTTTACGTTACTGTCTCCTTAGAATCTGAGTGCTGTTTAATAGTGAGCCAGTTGCAGGATATCTCAGTAATGTCTTTTTAAAATCTCTTATTAAAGGTAGAACCTCTGCTAGCCAGACAACTATATTATTTTGCTCAACAAAACAGTGGACATTTCCTGAGGGGCTACGATTTACCAGAACACATCAGCAATCCAGAAGATTACCACAGATCTATCCGCCATTCCTCTATTCAAGAATGAAAAATGTCAAGATGAGTGGTTTTCTTTTTCCTTTTTTTTTTTTTTTTTTTGATACGGGGATACGGGGTCTTGCTCTGTCTCCCAGGCTGGAGTGCAGTGACACAATCTCAGCTCACTGTGACCTCCGCCTCCTGGGTTCAAGAGACTCTCCTGCCTCAGCCTCCCTGGTAGCTGGGATTACAGGTGTGAGCCACTGCACCCACCCAAGACAAGTGATTTTCATTGTAAATATTTGACTTTAGTGAAAGCGTCCAATTGACTGCCCTCTTACTGTTTTGAGGAATTCAGAAGTGGAGATTTCAGTTCAGCGGTTGAGGAGAATTGCGGCGAGACAAGCATGGAAAATCAGTGACATCTGATTGGCAGATGAGCTTATTTCAAAAGGAAGGGTGGCTTTGCATTTCTTGTGTTCTGTAGACTGCCATCATTGATGATCACTGTGAAAATTGACCAAGTGATGTGTTTACATTTACTGAAATGCGCTCTTTAATTTGTTGTAGATTAGGTCTTGCTGGAAGACAGAGAAAACTTGCCTTTCAGTATTGACACTGACTAGAGTGATGACTGCTTGTAGGTATGTCTGTGCCATTTCTCAGGGAAGTAAGATGTAAATTGAAGAAGCCTCACACGTAAAAGAAATGTATTAATGTATGTAGGAGCTGCAGTTCTTGTGGAAGACACTTGCTGAGTGAAGGAAATGAATCTTTGACTGAAGCCGTGCCTGTAGCCTTGGGGAGGCCCATCCCCCACCTGCCAGCGGTTTCCTGGTGTGGGTCCCTCTGCCCCGCCCTCCTTCCCATTGGCTTTCTCTCCTTGGCCTTTCCTGGAAGCCAGTTAGTAAACTTCCTATTTTCTTGAGTCAAAAAACATGAGCGCTACTCTTGGATGGGACATTTTTGTCTGTCCTACAATCTAGTAATGTCTAAGTAATGGTTAAGTTTTCTTGTTTCTGCATCTTTTTGACCCTCATTCTTTAGAGATGCTAAAATTCTTCGCATAAAGAAGAAGAAATTAAGGAACATAAATCTTAATACTTGAACTGTTGCCCTTCTGTCCAAGTACTTAACTATCTGTTCCCTTCCTCTGTGCCACGCTCCTCTGTTTGTTTGGCTGTCCAGCGATCAGCCATGGCGACACTAAAGGAGGAGGAGCCGGGGACTCCCAGGCTGGAGAGCACTGCCAGGACCCACCACTGGAAGCAGGATGGAGCTGACTACGGAACTGCACACTCAGTGGGCTGTTTCTGCTTATTTCATCTGTTCTATGCTTCCTCGTGCCAATTATAGTTTGACAGGGCCTTAAAATTACTTGGCTTTTTCCAAATGCTTCTATTTATAGAATCCCAAAGACCTCCACTTGCTTAAGTATACCTATCACTTACATTTTTGTGGTTTTGAGAAAGTACAGCAGTAGACTGGGGCGTCACCTCCAGGCCGTTTCTCATACTACAGGATATTTACTATTACTCCCAGGATCAGCAGAAGATTGCGTAGCTCTCAAATGTGTGTTCCTGCTTTTCTAATGGATATTTTAAATTCATTCAACAAGCACCTAGTAAGTGCCTGCTGTATCCCTACATTACACAGTTCAGCCTTTATCAAGCTTAGTGAGCAGTGAGCACTGAAACATTATTTTTTAATGTTTAAAAAGTTTCTAATATTAAAGTCAGAATATTAATACAATTAATATTAATATTAACTACAGAAAAGACAAACAGTAGAGAACAGCAAAAAAATAAAAAGGATCTCCTTTTTTCCCAGCCCAAATTCTCCTCTCTAAAAGTGTCCACAAGAAGGGGTGTTTATTCTTCCAACACATTTCACTTTTCTGTAAATATACATAAACTTAAAAAGAAAACCTCATGGAGTCATCTTGCACACACTTTCATGCAGTGCTCTTTGTAGCTAACAGTGAAGATTTACCTCGTTCTGCTCAGAGGCCTTGCTGTGGAGCTCCACTGCCATGTACCCAGTAGGGTTTGACATTTCATTAGCCATGCAACATGGATATGTATTGGGCAGCAGACTGTGTTTCGTGAACTGCAGTGATGTATACATCTTATAGATGCAAAGTATTTTGGGGTATATTATCCTAAGGGAAGATAAAGATGATATTAAGAACTGCTGTTTCACGGGGCCCTTACCTGTGACCCTCTTTGCTGAAGAATATTTAACCCCACACAGCACTTCAAAGAAGCTGTCTTGGAAGTCTGTCTCAGGAGCACCCTGTCTTCTTAATTCTCCAAGCGGATGCTCCATTTCAATTGCTTTGTGACTTCTTCTTCTTTGTTTTTTTAAATATTATGCTGCTTTAACAGTGGAGCTGAATTTTCTGGAAAATGCTTCTTGGCTGGGGCCACTACCTCCTTTCCTATCTTTACATCTATGTGTATGTTGACTTTTTAAAATTCTGAGTGATCCAGGGTATGACCTAGGGAATGAACTAGCTATGAAATACTCAGGGTTAGGAATCCTAGCACTTGTCTCAGGACTCTGAAAAGGAACGGCTTCCTCATTCCTTGTCTTGATAAAGTGGAATTGGCAAACTAGAATTTAGTTTGTACTCAGTGGACAGTGCTGTTGAAGATTTGAGGACTTGTTAAAGAGCACTGGGTCATATGGAAAAAATGTATGTGTCTCCCAGGTGCATTTCTTGGTTTATGTCTTGTTCTTGAGATTTTGTATATTTAGGAAAACCTCAAGCAGTAATTAATATCTCCTGGAACACTATAGAGAACCAAGTGACCGACTCATTTACAACTGAAACCTAGGAAGCCCCTGAGTCCTGAGCGAAAACAGGAGAGTTAGTCGCCCTACAGAAAACCCAGCTAGACTATTGGGTATGAACTAAAAAGAGACTGTGCCATGGTGAGAAAAATGTAAAATCCTACAGTGAAATGAGCAGCCCTTACAGTATTGTTACCACCAAGGGCAGGTAGGTATTAGTGTTTGAAAAAGCTGGTCTTTGAGCGAGGGCATAAATACAGCTAGCCCCAGGGGTGGAACAACTCTGGGAGTCTTGGGTACTCGCACCTCTTGGCTTTGTTGATGCTCCGCCAGGAAGGCCACTTGTGTGTGCGTGTCAGTTACTTTTTTAGTAACAATTCAGATCCAGTGTAAACTTCCGTTCATTGCTCTCCAGTCACATGCCCCCACTTCCCCACAGGTGAAAGTTTTTCTGAAAGTGTTGGGATTGGTTAAGGTCTTTATTTGTATTACGTATCTCCCCAAGTCCTCTGTGGCCAGCTGCATCTGTCTGAATGGTGCGTGAAGGCTCTCAGACCTTACACACCATTTTGTAAGTTATGTTTTACATGCCCCGTTTTTGAGACTGATCTCGATGCAGGTGGATCTCCTTGAGATCCTGATAGCCTGTTACAGGAATGAAGTAAAGGTCAGTTTTTTTTTGTATTGATTTTCACAGCTTTGAGGAACATGCATAAGAAATGTAGCTGAAGTAGAGGGGACGTGAGAGAAGGGCCAGGCCGGCAGGCCAACCCTCCTCCAATGGAAATTCCCGTGTTGCTTCAAACTGAGACAGATGGGACTTAACAGGCAATGGGGTCCACTTCCCCCTCTTCAGCATCCCCCGTACCCCACTTTCTGCTGAAAGAACTGCCAGCAGGTAGGACCCCAGAGGCCCCCAAATGAAAGCTTGAATTTCCCCTACTGGCTCTGCGTTTTGCTGAGATCTGTAGGAAAGGATGCTTCACAAACTGAGGTAGATAATGCTATGCTGTCGTTGGTATACATCATGAATTTTTATGTAAATTGCTCTGCAAAGCAAATTGATATGTTTGATAAATTTATGTTTTTAGGTAAATAAAAACTTTTAAAAATTTGTTATGGAATGTGTGTGTGTGTTATTAAACATGCATCCTGATAGCTTTTAAAGCACTTTCTCCTGCGGTTACGTTCCTTCAGAGAGGCTGCTGTACGTGTCTCTGAAATCAGATCTCCAAGTGTTCACCTTGTTAAAGAGACAAACGCTGGCCAAGTGCCGGGCTGCTCCTCCCACACAGAGGAGTGTCTGTGAAGAGTAATCATCCTGCTCTCCCGTTAGCATCTGCCTCCTCTTCCTTTATCTGTACTTTAAAAGGTTTAGGGCTTTCAAGGAAGTTGTTTTTAATGTTTTCTTTTGTTTATATTCGAAGCTCCTCTGATTTTGGTCATTGCTAAAAAGAAGGGATATAGGTTAACTAACACTCCAAATGTGAAAATCAAATGGAAAACTGGATAAAGAGAACAGGATTTAGATGGAACCCCTGGGGATCCGTACGTCTGCTGTTGACCTCAGCTCCAAACTCTTCCTCTCTCTGAGCAGCCAGGCAAGGGAGTCTCCTTTCTCAGCTTCATCGCTTCTACTGATTACATGGCTCAGCTCCTATGCACCTACTAACTTCCAGTCCAGCAGAAAAACTCAAAGAACCAGGCTGCAGCTGCTGGTGCTAAAATCCTTGCAGCTGAAGGTTACATAGAGCTGTCAGAAAAGTTTGTAGTTTGGATCTAGAACCCCCCCTAGAATAGTAGATTAGCATAATTTTGATTTTGCTAAATGGTAAAATTTCTTTTCTAAACCCTCACAAGTTCAGTTGAGAAACTTTCCTGAAAACAAAGATCAATAAATCTTAGCATAGTGATAAGACAAAGGAGACAGCAGCTCCAGTGTTTTAAAAGGGGACAAAAATGAGAGAAGGTAGTAAAATCTGTTCCCAGATTCCACTGCTGCCTTCGCTGTTCCCAGGAAGGAAGGATTTATGTCCTGATCTCAGGAGACAGGCTTCAGCAGAGTGCTTCCCTGTGAGTTCTGTGTTCCTAACTTAACAATTCTCAATATTTTGGGGAGAAATATTTTGGTTTCCTTCAGTCCCCCCTTGAAGCTTTACTTTCAGAAAGTTTCACATGTTAAAAGCTAAGTTGGTAGTTTTGGAGAGATTTGGGTTAGAAGTTTTAAGATAAGAGATTTGGCAAAGGAGGAGGAGAACATAGTTTGGAACAAGCAGAAAGGAACCAATTTGGGTACATTGTTCCATCTCTTATTGTATCAGTCTTTCAGTCCTGAAAATAGGTCAGTTCCGTTAAATCATTGCATCCCATTTCAGAGGTGGTGTAAGTGGGCTTCCATAAGAGTTACGTCTTCCATATGGTGTAGGCACACAGGTACTTTATCAGAGACATTTGTATGGAAATAAAAAGAAAACAAAGGTCTATGTTTCAAGCAGTCTATAAGCTAGTTTCTGGAGAGCAACCAGCTGAGATTTCTAGATTTGGGTTCAAATAATTTTAAGTTGGAGTGGACAGGCAGTGGCAATCTGACAGATTTTTCTGGATTATAGTTTGCATCAGACGTTCCAGTGAAGTTTTTGTCCATAAATAAATTGTGATGACTTCTCCAAAGTTTATATCAAGTTGTTCAGCTTTCATTTGCAGGGCTTCAGGAAAGGCACGGTTTTAATTCCTAGTGATTTCAAGTCAGAAAGGTGGGAGAAAGTTGGGAATGTTAGTCTGAAGAGCCATAGCAGATATTAGAGGAAACTAAAACTTCAGGATTCAGTCCAGATAATTTTTAAAAACTCTAAAACAATGGACAGGGCTAGAATCTAATAACAGCTATGCTATAGCTGTTCTGAAACATTTTTTCTCTCTACAGTCACCTCCCTGTTTACCAAAGATAATCACAATAAGTCCAGTTTACTTACAAAACAAGTTTAGTGTCATTATATTTAACCGGATCATTTACATAAGTACAGCAAGAACAGTGATTTAACATATAAGCTCTTTTTAAGTCAGCGTTGCTGGAACTTTTCGTAAAGAATTTTATTAGATTAGAACACTAAAACCCTCTTCAGACTAGGAAGCCGTGCCACAGACTTACCAACAGATTTTATCTGAGATACCTGGGTAAATTTTTTTCTTGAGGTCTCCAAAATGTTTTGAGGTTCCTGGGCTTGTCAGAAAATGACATTATTTACTTACTGCAAGGCTAGAAGTGCTGGAAGGGCACCGCATAGTTCAGGAACAAAGTGCCAGGCCAGTTCTTTCAAGGGTTTTATTGGCTCCTTAAAGTTAACGTTCATTCCTTTAAGCAGTCTGGTCACATCTGAAAAAATGACGTCCCAGTCATAGCCTTGATGATATAACCTGTGTTTCCAATTTTTCCAGTCCGAAGAGAGCAGATTCCTAGTGAACTTATGCAAATAACTATCTTGCCATAAAAATAGAATTTCTCACATACAGTTTCTAAATCCTGGAGGGCTCAGGTAAAGAAAAAGATAAATGTTTCAATATTTGTGCACAAAAATATACTTTACAAAATTACTGTAAAGCTGTAGATTACTTAAGAGGGAAAAAAAGTTTTCTCAACTATGGAAAGAAAACATAAAAAGAATCAGCAATGCTTTAAACAAAAAATGTTGCAAAAAATCATTTTAGTCCTTCCTTGGTTTAGTTTCGTGTAATTCTTGTTTTGCTTGATTTGGGGTTACTAATTTTATGAGTCCAGTTTTTTTTTCATTAGCATTCTGGAAATTTTTAATGACTCCAATAATATGGTCTCAAAGTTGTCAGGAACCTGTATTCAAGAGTACTTCTTTCAGTCCTTTCTATGAACCTTCTTGAAGACATAACACTTTAGGATCTGCAAAGAGCTTTTAGAAAAAGTATCATAATAAAGCAATTAATAGCAGATAACAAGACTTAAAATGGACATAGTTAAAGACACAATTGACATGGAAATTTGGTTACTTTCTGTGGCTTACAACAATTTAACATAATACCCATAATTATAACTGACAACATTACCAAAACATATCAGATTTTTAGGAATCTCATACAATTTTAGAACACATATTAATAACATATCCATATGATATAGTTTGGATCTGAGTCCCCACCCAAATCTCATGTTGAAATGTAATCCCCAATGCCAGAGGAGAGGCCTGGTAGAAGGTGACTGGATCATTGGGGTGGTCCCTCATGAGTGGTTTAGCACCATCCTCTCAGTACTGCTCTCATGATGGTGAGTGAGTGCTCTCAAGATCTGGTTATTTAAAAGTGTGTAGCACCTCCCCCACTTCCTCCTTCTGCTCCTGCCATATAAGATATGCTTGGTTCCCCTTCACCATCCACTATGATTGTATGTTTACTGAGGCCTTCCCAGAAGCCAAGCAGATGCTGCCATGCTTCCTGTACAGCTGGCAGAACTGTGAGCTAATTAAACCTCTTTTCTTTATAAATTACCCAGTCTCAGGTATTTATTTATGAAGTGCAAGAATGGAGTAATATAGAAAATTGGTACCAGTAGTGGGATATTGTGATAAAGATACCTGAAAATGTGGAAGTGGGTTTGGAACTGGATAACAGACAGAGATTGGAAGAGTGTGGAGGCTCAGAAGAAGACAGGAAGATAAGGGAAAATTTGGAACTCCCGAAGGACTTGCTGAATGATTGTGACCAAAATGCTGATAGTGATATAGACAATGAAGGCCAGGCTGAGGAGGTCTCAGATGGAAATGAGGAACTTATTGGGAACTGGAGTAATGGTCGCTTTCGTTACGCATTAGCAAAGAGCCTCTACTCTAAAGATTTGTGGAACTTTGAACTTGGGAGCAATGATTTAGGGTATTTGGCAGAAGAAACTTCTAAGCAGTGAAGTGTTTAAGATGTGACCTGGCTGCTTCTAACAGCTTATGCTTATATGTGTGAACAAAGAAATAACCTGAAACTGGAACTTATATTTAAAATGGAAGCAGAGCATAAAAGTTTGAAAAATTTGCAGCCTGGTCATGTGATAAAGAAAGGAAAATTTCACTAGCACCTCTATCTAGGGTCTCAGGTTCTCATCTGACAAAGTACACAAAGGCCTTACAACCCCATGTGTCCATAGATAGAAGAATAAAAAAAGACAGTCTGTAAGAGAGGAAATCAAAAGCTGTTCATGGTAGTAGAAAGGATTACCAATGGGTACCACAAAAAGTCAAGACTCATATAAATAATTAAAAACAAGGCATTTACACTAATTTGTATAAATGTTTCTCTCCCAAGCTAAGGTATTTACTAAGGAAATCAATTTGGTGGTGGGTCTAAAGAACTTTATTTAACTCTGTGTCAAATCCAATCTCTGCTTGAATGCTGCTTAATTAATTCCCTGAATAACATTTCAAAAACATGGTAAGATTAACATCTTCCATGGGCTGAGAAAGGCTTAGAGAATTAGGCTGAAGAGTGTTTTGTCAATCTTGCAATGACTTACAGGCATTTGAAAAGTGAACTTCTCTAAAAGAAATTTATTTTAAATATAGCCAGTCTAATTTATTTCAAAGTGATGTAAACCAATAAGCCAAAATAAAAACACCAGAGTCACTATATCCAAGAGCCAATTTATACAAATAATTTTCTCCTATTTAAATTTGGAAATGAAGGAAAAAAGAAAAAACTCTTACCCTCCCCTCTCAACTGAGCACTAAAAATAGAGATGTGAAGAGCTGACGTTGGTAAGAAACCTTACCCTTTTCTGCTGGTTTCTTTCAGATCTCTCAGAGCTCCATCCATTGGCCCTAGTGTGAGCAAAGTGTGCCTTTGTGGTTGTCAAATTGAAGGAAAGAAAATATGATTTATTTTCTCAATCCTCATATTTTCTTACCTGAGACACTTTCCTGAAAAAAAAAAGATTAACAAGAGAAAAGCCAGAAGAAGTTTATTGATGAATATTGTACCCATCACCTAGAAGAAGGCCTCAGTTCAAATGTATTTCTCTCCCAGGGCAGAGTAGATGAGGAATCTTTCTTAAGTAGTATTTTAACAAAAAACAATAAATCTTAGCATAGAGACAAAGCAAAGGAGGGGGCAGTTCCAGTCTTTTAAAAACTGGGAAAATGTGGGAAGATAGTAAACCTTGTTCCCAGATTGTTCTGGTGCTTGCTGATGCCTTCTCTGGGCCAATTTCTAGTAAGGAAGGATTTATGTCCTGACATCAGGCAAATAGAGGTGGGGCAGAGTGTTTCCTTGCATTTTCAGTGTGTTTAACTTAATAATCCTCAATATTTTTGGAAGAAGTATTTTGGTTTCCTTCATAACGAAATAGAAATAATGGACAAATAAACAATCTTTCTTCTTCTTGGGGCTCCATTTGCTCAACAAATACAGGTGGACTCAAGTCAGTATACATGCATAGGCAAGTTTTTCTTCAAATAATATATCAACTGGTTATATCTAAAAGGGTATTCCAAAGGGTTTTGAGCCCTTGAGATTGCTCTGAAGTAATTTTATGTATCTCTAAGGTACCAGTGTTTATTCTCGTAAACTGTTCTGTAACTGCAGCACAAGTTTGGCTGTATTGGATTTGATTTCCTAAAAACAATGATCACCTGACAAACACGCTTGTTGCAGTGTGCCACCAGTACTCCCCTAGGCCAGAAAGACACGTTGGGTCCTGTCTCATCTCTCTGCAAAGGAGCTCTGGACAGGCTATACCTAAATTAACACAGGCAGACATATATTCTCTGTTTCAGTGTAGCATTATGAATTATATGGTGTTTGAAGGCAACCCGGCCTTTTCAGTGACCCCTCCTCCTGCCACACTGGTAGTGTGTTGGCAAAATGTCTGTCCTTAGGGAGTCCTCAAAGACTCCTTCCTTCTCTTCCCTCTGCCCTCTGCCTCTGCTCCCCTGGCTAGTCTGCGCCCACAGGTCTTGGCTGTGGCACACTCCCCTTCTGCAGGCATTGCTTCCCTTATTCCACCCTCTGTTTGGGTCTCCAAAGTGTGATATTTGTCTTGAGAAACACTTTGCCCCACTATGTCATTCCCCTTTCCTTACTCTCCAAGCAGCTGGGTCACTGGTGCTCAGGACTCAAACTGGCTGGGAATGTGAGAAAAGCTCCTTTTCCCTCCTGGCCTCCTACTTGAGACTAAAGCAAAATGCTGAGGGTTGAGGAAGGGAGAGCGAGTGCTCGCTGAGAAAGGAAGAAATGAGTGTTTAGACTTCAGCCACTCCCTGATAAAGGGGAACGATCTTCTGCCTCCTGGGAAAAACTTTGATGAGACAGCAAACTTGAGAAAAGTTTGTGGGAAGGAGCAGTGAGAACCGCAGGTTACGAAGGGGCCAGGTGGGCAGGACTGAAGGATAACTCCATGGTAACCGGCGTGGATCGATGACTATGGGGCCAAAGAGTGGGCATGCCTGGGTGTGTCTGAGCAGAAACTGCATTGAGGACAAGATCCCCTGCCCACCAGCACAGGCTCTGGCTCTGTGGGAGCTATGCCAAACTTAGCCCCAGTTCAAGGGAAGGAGAGGGAGGAGAGGGAGGAGAGGGAGGAGAGGGATCCAAAGTGAACTGAACTTGAATTTGCATCACCCTAGTGGAATATGAGCTTAAAATTAACAATTATATTGTTAAAGAAAATATGAACTACATGTCTTAAAAACTTTGGCTCTGGACTTAGATTTCTACGCACCATGTCCGCAGCATAACACTGCCCATTCTTTATTGTAATTGTCTGTTTATTAATTTGTCTTCTGTACTATAAATTCCTTGAGGAAGGGAACTGTGCTTTCCAGTAAACACCCAGTACTGGTGCAGCACCTGGCTTATAGTCAGCACCATCGAATCCTCAGGAAATGACACAGTTGGCGAACCTAGATGTCTACCATGTCCAACAGTGTCCAATAGGATGCTGGCCAAGTGATGAGCCACCTATGGCATGAAATGCTATAGAACCACTTACAAATTGTGCAGTATACAAGTATTTCATGGCATGGGGAAATGGTTGTTACTTTGTAAAGTAAAAAGAAACAGGTTTCAAAACAATGTGATATCTTTTTAAAATTTCATGGAGCTCATACATAGAATTTTTTAAAAAGAACATTCAACAGTGTAAATTATACCCCTGAGATGTGGGGTCATGGAAATTTTTTATTTTCTTGTGTGCTTTTTTGTACTTTTCAAAGTTTCTCCTGAGACCACATATTTTGTTACTAGAAAGGGAGAAAAGCACAAATGTAATCTTTCTAAGTTGATACGTCCCTTTATATTTTTTGGTGGGCTTCCAGTTTCTCAAGCTGCCTTGTGGGGTCCCCAGAGCTCTGGGGGTGGGACCAGCTCTGAGGTGAAGGGACCAGGGGCTCAGGGTCTCAGGGCCCATCTCCCAGTCCTGCCTCCATTAATTTCTTTTCCTACCATTTCCCCTTGATATGCTTTCCCCCACCTCATCTTTCCCAAGATGCTTCTTTGTCCTCTGAGCTATGACACTGAGGATGAACGCTCTCTCAGCTTTCTGGCTGCAGCTGCCTCCATGCAGGGACCCCCAGCCTGTGAACTTCCCTCTGGCACCCCCACTCCCCCATGCGGAAACTCCCTCGGCCACCCGTTCTCATCCCCAACCCAAGCGGGACCTCCCTCCCCCACCAGCACCCCCATGCGGGACCTCTCTCCCCCACCAGCACCCCCATGTGGGACCTCCAACCCCCACCAGCAACCCATGCGGGACCTCCATCCCCCACCAGCACCCCCATGCGGGACCTCCCTCCCCCACCAGCACCCCCATGCGGGACCTCCATCCCCCACCAGCACCCCCATGCGGGACCTCCCTCCCCCACCAGCACCCCCATGCGGGACCTCCCTCCCCCACCAGCACCCCCATGCGGGACCTCCATCCCCCACCAGCACCCCCATGCGGGACCTCCCTCCCCCACCAGCACCCCCATGCGGGACCTCCCTCCCCCACCAGCACCCCAATGTGTGACCTCCATCCCCCACTAGCACCCCAATATGGGATTTCCCTTCCCTCCCCCACTAGCACCCCCAACTCAGGACCTCCCTTCCCCCCTCCCACCCCCATGTGGGGATCTCCCTCCATCCCTAGCACCCCCATTGTGGGATCTCCTTTCCTCACCTCCAACCCCCATGTGAGAACCTCCCTCTCACTCTCACCCCCATTCTGGGACCCTCCTGAGTCTCTGCCCTTCCTCAGTCATCACAGTCTCTGTACAGCTAGGGACTGACTCTTTGCCTTTGGCCCTGCTGTTTCCCCTCACGCTAATGTCAGCATTTGGGGTTGCCTGGAAACAGGAAGGATAAGAACATTGATTCTTCTTTTTTATTTGTGGAAAATATGCATAACATAAAATTTACCATCTTAACCATGTTTAGGTATACAGTTCAGTGGCATTAAGTAATTCACATTGCTGTGCAGCCATATCCAGCATCTGTCTGCAGGACTTTCTCATCTTCCCAAATTGAAACCCTGTCTCCATCCCACACTATCTCCCCATTCCCTGGCCCCTTTGCCCCCAGCCCCCACCATTCTACTTTCTATCTCTATGAAACTGACTACTCTGGATACCTTGTATGCGTGGAATCCTGCAGTATTTGTCCTTCTGTGTCTGGCTTATTTCACTGAGCTTGATGTCCTCCAGGTTCGTTCATGTTGCAGCACGTGTCAGAATTTCCTTTCTTTCTAAGGCTAAATCATATTCCATTGCATGGGTGGACCATATTTTGTTCATTTATCTGTCCTGAACACTTGAGTTGCTTCCGTGTTTTAGCTACTGTGAATAACGCTGTTGTGGACATGGGTGGACAAATGGGTCTTCAAGACCCTGCTTTCAATTCTTTCATGTGTATACCCAGAAGTGGAACTGCTGGAGCGATGAAAATTCTATAATTAATATTTTAAAGGTACCACTGTACTGTTTACCACAGTGGCTGCATCATTTTACATTCCCACCAGCAATGCACAAGGATTCCAGTTTCCCCACATCCTCACCAACACTTGTTATTTTCTGAAGAACATTGATTTTTTTAAAAAGGATTCATTCCACAAACATCTTCTGAAGACTCCCCATGTTCCTGACCCTCCCTGCTTTCCAGGGATAGCCAGCTGTAATCGCACAGCTTCTGTGTGGGTGCAGGAGGCCAGCAAGCACTGAGACAGACGCTACGGGCAGGGCATTTCCGAGAAGGAAATATTTTCATTCTCCATTTTTAAGGTGAGAAACTGAGGCCCAGGAGTGTAAAGCCAGTACCCTAATATACAACTACTAAAAGAGGAAGCCAGGATTCAAATCCAGGCCTTTGTGGTTTCATAGCCTTATCTCTTAATTCTGATGCCAGCCTGCCTTCCCTTCCACCATTGACGTACCAAGAGTCAGAGAGGTGGCACGGTGTACCTGTATCCACACCACTGGTGAGCAGCCCTCCAGCATCACACCCAGACTTTCTAAGATGCTTGGTATCCCACAGATGGGAGCCAATTTCTTTAGGTGGGGAAAGAGAATGGGAGCAGAGAGAACAGCCTGTTCCACAAAGAAAGGAGAAGAACCAAGAGTTTGGGATTAAGCATAAAGGTCTAATTAACATTTATTAGGTGCTAAGTGCACTGCCATGTGTCAACTCCTGTAATCCTTGAAGTAATCCTGGGAGACAGGCATTTCATTTCTCACCTTACAGATGGGGGCACAGAGCACAGGGAGGATCTTGAGAGGGTCCCATGGTCAGCAAGTGTTGGTGAAAGGATATCATCCTGGCTGGTCCTACCCAGGTGCTCCATCTTCATCCTATAAAACTCTCTGTGCTTTAGTTTCTTCTATGAAACAGGACACCTATTTCATAGGGTAGTTGTCGGGATTAGTGATAAAGTGCTAAGAGTAATAGCTGGGGCACAGTTAATCCTATGTAAATATTGGCGAATTGTCTTAGTCTGTTGCCTGTTGCTATAATGGAATACCATAGAGTGGGTAATTTACAAAGAAAAGTATGTATTATTATGATTCTGGAGGCTGGGAAGTCCAAGAGCATGGCACTGGTACCTGGTAAGGACCTCCTTGCTGCATCATAACGTCGCATGGCTGAGGGTGTCGCATGGCCAGAGGGCATGGGCACGCCAGCTCAGGTTTCTCTTCCTCTCCTTAGGAAGCCACCAGTCCCATCATGGGGGCCGCACCCTCATGACCTTATCTAATCCTCATTACCTCCCAAAGGCCCTACCTCCAAATATCATCAGCAAATCAATGTGGGGGTTAAGTTTTCAACACATGAAATTTGGGGGACACATTTAAAGCACAGCAGCTATTACTAACTTGGTATTCATTAGAAGCTCCTTTGAGAGTAGGGCAGTACCTTCTTACCTCAGTGTTTCCTAAATTTTAGTCCTATTTACACTGCCTTCAAACTTTTGATTATTTATTTAAACATTATTTAATTTAAAAATATGACTATTATGCATTTAGTATCTGTTATCTATTTAAAACATTACTTCTTAAAATACTTTTAAAAGTATTGCTATTTTCTTAAAACTGTTGGTTTTAAACATTTTTCTTTAGACGAAGTCTTACTCTGTCACCCAGGCTGGAGTGCCATGGCACCATCTTGGGTCACTGCAACCTCTGCCTCCTGGGTTCAAGCAATTCTCCTGCCTCAGCCTCCCAAGTAGCTGGGACTATAGGCATGTGCCACCACACCTGGCTAATATTTGTTATTTTAGTAGAAATGGGGTCTCACTATGTTGGCCAGGCTGGTCTCAAACTCCTGACCTCAGGTGATCTGCTCATCTCAGCCTCCCAAAGTGCTAGGATTACAGGCATGAGCCATTGTGCCTGGCCTAAAGTTAAATATCTACTTTAGCACCATGTTGAGCAATAAAACGTGTAAAAGCCACAAGTTTGATGGGCCAATGATATATCTATTTTCCAACATCTTTTTTAAATAATTAATAAGAATTAAAATGCCTTTAGATGCATCTGAAGTCCTCTGGATTCCGAAACCCGTGGCAGGTGTAGTACTACTCCTTAGAGAGACACCAAATTCCCATCTGTCTCCCATGGTGCCTAGCATCTGCTTTTGGGGCCTCATGCTTATCAGATGAACAGAAAATTTAATCAATTAAGAATTAATTACTTGATTGATTATTGACTTCAGGGGAGATCTTCATTTTTACCCTGTAACTTTAATCAGTAGGTCAAGTTATAGACTGGAAGGAGGGGTTTCCTCTTTCTCTGACCAACCGTTTTCTCTGATCGGCCATAAATCTCCAACAAGCAAATCTCTCTGAAACCTGGTGACTGGATGCTTTCCTACAATTTCACAGCTTTGTTGGAAAATTCTGCCTTCCTTCTGGATAAGGAACATAAAGTCCTTGTCCATGGTCAGTCTCATAGATTGATTTACATTTTTTCCATGTTGCTGAAACATGACTCTTCTCTGTAAATGATTACATGTTGGAGTCTTTTCCTGGCAAAAAAAAAAAGAGCCAAGAAATGCAAACAACTGAAGCTGAGACACTCACTTCAGAGGTGCCTGAACATTTTAGTCATCCCCGTGGCTATGTTTGCTTGGGTGACCTCGCACCGGAGCTTACTCACCACCGTGTGATTTTGTGACCACATAACTTTTGCTCAATGTTTTAAAGGTTCATGAAACAACCAAGAGGCCTGCTTTCCCTCATGTTCATAAGCAATGGCAAAACAAAATTCAGGGTTTTTTTTTTTTTTTTTTTTTTTTTTTTGACATTTAGGACCCAGGTCATGATACAAAACATTGAACTTTAAAAGATGTTTAGGTTGAAAATTTTAAAAATAGATTTTAACCGTCTAAAGGAGAGAATAAGCAGAATGAGAGATGGAGTGACGTCCCCTCTCAGCGTGAGCTGCCTGGCCACATGCAGCCAACCTGGACCTGGCCGGCTGGTCACTTTGTTCTTAGTCTCCTCTGTGCTGGGAGGCTGTCCCTCCCCTTCTACCTGGTTCCTTCCACCTGGAATCAGGCGCTAGTTCATGTCTCCCCTCACCAGTGACCACAGCCAGAAGAGGAAGGTGAGTGGAGGGGCCATGGGGCTTCCATGGGCTTGTGGCCTGCCTGCCTGGACGGAGTCCCTGCTCTCCCACTGCTCTGTTCAAGACACTCTGGGTGAGGAGCAGGGAGCCCTTGTGCCTCTTACTCTTGATCCCAGACTTTCTTCAGCCTCCAAAGAGAGACCATGTGTGGCACAGGATGCCACCTCCTCTGTAGGATGGAGGCAGGGAGCCCTCACAAAGTCCCTTTGGAGCGCAGAAGAAAAACTCAGCTATGGAACAAGGTAGAGAATGGAAGCACGTTAGTGCTAGCAGAGTCTGCCTGAGACCTGGGTAGGTCCCCAACATTTGGGACGGCTGTTTTTGTCCTGGAGTTTGAAGGAGAAACCCCTGAAAGATGGGTGTGGCCGCGGGGAAAGAGGTGGGGTGTGGGCGGAGGGGGCCTCAGGGCAAGGCTTGGGGTGCGGCGGGGGCTGCAGAGGCTCCCAGTGCCGTGAGACGCGTGGCCGCGGGGCCCGTGCTGGCTGGGACCACCTCCAGGAGCCCGTGGGTGCCCGGGAAGAGGGCAGGAGGTGCTGGGCCCTGCTGGGGAAGAGGATCGGTAAGGACTTGCAGGTGACTTTGCTCGCCTGTCCTGAACAGGGCACAGGGAAGGCTTCCCAGGGCCGTCTCCTTGTGGCCTGGCTCCTGCGGGCCCCGAGCCAGCCCTTCCCGGCCAGCCCAGCACAACAGCCCCGCCAGTCCGAACCAATGGAGAACTGCTTCGCGATGGGAAGCCGACACCAGCAGCGAAAGCACAACTTCCGGCCAGGGGAAAAGCACACCTCCAACCATGCGGCGCTAGGCCTCGGCTCTCCAGTCCGCAAGGTCCTTTCCAGGCCGCCGCGGGCGCTGCTGAGCTCTGGACCGGACTGTCCCGCCCTCCCCGCCGAGGAAGCCCCCCGCCGGGCCTTCCCGCCCTCCCCGCCGACGGAGCCCCCCGCCGGGCCTTCCCGCCCTCCCCGCCGACGGAGCCCCCCGCCGGGCCTTCCCGCCCTCCCCGCCGACGGAGCCCCCCGCCGGGCCTTCCCGCCCTCCCCGCCGACGGAGCCCCCCGCCGGGCCTTCCCGCCCTCCCCGCCGACGGAGCCCCCCGCGGGGCCTTCCCGCCCTCCCCGCCGACGGAGCCCCCCGCCGGGCCTTCCCGCCCTCCCCGCCGACGGAGCCCCCCGCCGGGCCTTCCCGCCCTCCCCGCCGACGGAGCCCCCCGCCGGGCCTTCCCGCCCTCCCCGCCGACGGAGCCCCCCGCGGGGCCTTCCCGCCCTCCCCGCCGACGGAGCCCCCCGCCGGGCCTTCCCGCCCTCCCCGCCGACGGAGCCCCCCGCCGGGCCTTCCCGCCCTCCCCGCCGACGGAGCCCCCCGCCGGGCCTTCCTTTCTGCGTTACCCTTCCCGTGCTGGGCCTGGCGCCTGGGTGTCAGGGCCTCCTCCTGGGACAGAGGAAGGGGCCAGGCTCCCTCTGCAGACAGCTCTGGGGCCTACTCCGCGTTTCCAACCAGCACCGCAGGAAACCTGCGCACCCAAAGGCGAAAAGCGGGCACAGCAGGGCAGAAGGGAGCCGTGGCCAGGGAGGAGGAATGCAGAGACCTGCAGAAGAACCAAAGCTAGCTGCAGAGAAACTGGAGCAGGGATCTGGGGGTCCCAAGGCAGCGGTCCTGGGCAGAACCCCGCTGAGGCTTGTTAGGAAACAAGTGAAACTGTCAAAACCTGAGACTCCCTGGTGTGCCTCCGCCAGGCAGCTCCAGAGCTCCAAGTATTGTGTCTGGAATTTGAGTTCCTGCTCTCACTGACTTCAAGAATGAAGCCACAGGCCCTCACGGTGAGTGTTACAGTTCTTAACGTCAGCATGTCCAGAGTCTGTTGCTTCTGATGTATCGGATGCATTCGGTTTCTTCCTTGTGGTGGGTTTGTGGTCTCACTGGCTCAAGAGTGAAGCTGCAGACCTTTAGTGCGAGTGTTGCAACTCTTAAAGCTGCACTTCAGGAGTTGTTCGATCCCTCTCAGTAGGGTTATTGTCTCATTGGCTTCAGAAATGAAGCTGCAGACCTTCAAGATAAGTGTTACAGTTAATAAAACCAGTGTGGACCCATAAGAGTGAGCAGTAAGCAAGATTTATTGCAAAGAGAAAAAGAACAAAGGTTCCACAATGCAGAACGTGACCCGAAGGAGTTGTCGCCGCTGACTCAGGCAGCCTGCTTTTATTCTCTTATCTGGCCCCACCCACATCCTGCTGATTGGTAGAGCTGAATGGTCTGTTTTGACAGGGCGCTGATTGGTGCGTTTACAACCCCCAAGCTAGACATAAAAGTTCTCCAAGGCCCCACCAGAGCAGCTAGATACAGAGTGCCGATTGGTGTATTTACAATCCCTGAGCTAGACGTAAAGGTTCTCCAAGGCCCCACCAGATTAGCTAGATACGGTGTCCACACAAAGGTTCTCTAAGGCCCCACCAGAGTAACTAGATACAGAGTGTCGATTGGTGCATTCACAAACCCCGAGCTAGACACAGGGTGCTGACTGATGTGTTTACAAACCTTGAGCTAGATACAGAGTGTCGATTGGTGCATTCACAAACCCTGAGCTAGACACAGGGTGCGGACTGGTGTGTTTACAAACCTTGAGCTAGATACAGAGTGCCGATTGGTGTGTTTACAATCCCTTAGCTAGACATAAAGGTTCTCCACGTCCCCACTAGACTCAGGAGCCCAGCTGGCTTCACCCAGTGGATCCCGCACCGGGGCTGCAGGCGGAGCTGCTTGCCAATCCCGCGCTGTGAGCCGGCACTCCTCAGCCCCTGGGTGGTCGATGGGACTGGGCGCCGTGGAGCACGGGGCGGCGCTCATCGGGGAAGCTCGGGCCGCACTGGAGCCCACGGAGAGGGTGGGAGACTCAGGCATGGCGGGCTGCAGATCCCGAGCCCTGTCCCGCGGGAAGGCAGCTAAGGCCCGGCGAGAAATCGAGTGCAGCGCCGGTGGTTTGTCACTGCTGGGGGACCCAGTACACCCTCCGCAGCCGCTGGCCCGGGTGCTAAGCCCCTCATTGCCCGGGGCCTGCAGGGCCGGCCTGATGCTCCGAGTGCGGGGCCCGCCAAGCCCACGCCCACCCGGAACTCGCGCTGGCCCGCAAGCGCCGCGCGCAGCCCGGGTTCCGCTGGCGCCTCTCCCTCCACACCTCCCTGTAAGCTGAGGGAGCCGGCTCCGGCCTTGACCAGCCCAGAAAGGGGCTCCCACAGTGCAGTGGTGGGCTGAAGGGCTCCTCAAGTGCCGCCAAAGTGGGAGCCCAGGCAGAGGAGGCGCCGAGAGCGAGTGAGGGCTGTGAGGACTGCCAGTATGCTGTCACGTCTCAGTGTCACGCAGACTACTTGCAGGCAGGAGAAAAAGAGGCTGCACAGCACGGCTTCCTGCCAGTCAAAGGCCTAGGAGCAGCCCTGGGCTCTGCACTCTGTGTGCGGATGCAAAGGCACAGGGGGAGGAATCTGGCCAAATGCAAGCGCCCCTCACTGGGCATCTCTGCCTCCTGCCCTGCTTCTGCCAAGGCAGGCCTGGGGTGGGGGGGCCAGGCCCCAGGGGCCAGAGCCAAGTGTCTGCTTCTCTGCTGTTTTTCAACAGAGCCACCATAAAAAATACATAAACTTCTAATGAATTATATTAGCAACAAAGGTAATCCATACTCCAACTACTCATTACTTCCTGATTTCTCAACTGCATTTACTAGCATCTCTTCTTTAGAGGCGGTTTGTGTGTATTGCCTCTGTGGGGTGAAGGGTGTGCTGAAGTGCAGACTTTTCCAGCCCTGCGTTCAGAGGCATCAGGCTGGGAGCTTGAAGCTGGTGGGAGTATTTACACCACAGGGATGGGCAGAGACTGCACATCAAGGCTTGCTCCACCCCCTCCTCCATGCGGCTTGCAAGCCATGCATCAGCACACCCTGGGTGGGTTTGATTTGCTCTTCTGCTCCCCATTCCTTCCACCTTTGGTCTTAGCAGCTTGGGGCTACTAGGGTGAGAAAGAAGGACAGCAGAGATGGAGAGGAACTGAGGTCTCTCCCTCTCTGGTAATATCATAATACAGCTTTTTCTTGGACAACTCTGGCTGGCAGAGGTATCCAAAGGCTGGCTCTCGTGAATGAGTCCTAGGTGAGGCAGGGGGAAAGTCCCCCAGGAGCGTGGTTTGTAGGGATGGAAGGAGAGCTCTTGGAAGTCCCATCCCTGCAGGCCCTGCCCAAGGCACTTTTCCGGGGGTGGGCCAGCTCAGGCAGGCCAGGCCACTTCTGTTGGGTCCACTCTTGCCTCCCCGCACCGGGGCTGCCCCACATCTGTCTGTGTCTGCCTTTCCTTCTCTCCAGGCATCTTTCCCCACTTCTCAGACATTGGGGCCAGGGAGATGAGAGTGCGTGCCTCTTGGGTGCAGCTGTCTGCAGGCTCTGTGTGTGTGTCTTGGAGCGCCCCTCCTTTGACTGTGGCAGGGAAAGAGCAGCCCACCACACTGGCCTTGGGAGGTGGGAAACCCACTGGGTTCTCTCCAGCCACGGACACTCCTTGCTGTGAGGGTGTCCGAGCCTCCCTGCTTCCCCCTCCCTGCACCAGGCATCTGCCTGGCCAAACCAAGAGACGCAGTGCTGACACTGGATCTGAGGAGTCTCATGCCATCATCTTCAGATTTCTTTCAAAACAGGCTTCTCCTTGCCTCTTTGCCTTGATTACGCATGGCAGGCGATTCTTGAGCAACAGCCATGGCTCTGCCATCCCAGCGCACCACATTTGAAGAAGGAGCAGCTGAGGGTTGGAGTGCAGGCGTGTTTGCTTCCATGAGGACTGCCTCTGCCTCCCGGGACAGTGGGGTGGAAAGAGCTGCATTTGTCCCAGTTGGAGAGGGGTGGCAGGACAGAGTCTCGGCTAGTGTGTGCAGGGTTTCCTCTGCAGAACCAGGATGCCCTGCTACAGGCTTAGCCAAGAAAAAAACAGGAAGCCCCTCCCACACTGCCCAACACACAGAAGGCGCTCAATAAACGGCAGCCATATTCAGCATGGGAGAAGGAGCACCAACGCACAGGGACGTGGCCACACATGTGCAGCTGCTCTCAGTGGGGAAGATGCCCAGCGGGCTCATGTGCATGTCTCTGCCCCCATCTTGGGGCAAGAGTTGTTTTTTAGGGACCACTTTGCTGCATAGCCAGGGTAAATGCCCACTGCCCTCATGCCCATGAATCACGAGTCCCTGGAAGCTGTGGGAGGTGAAAGCACCTTACTGCAGGCCCTGCAGGCCTGACAGGAGAGGGCCCAAGGAGACCTCAGTTGTCCAGACATGGCACCCGTGGAATCTCTAATGGGTCCAAGCAGCAGCACAGTCTCGAGCCCTCTACCTGCCGAGACACCTGCTGCACTGGTTAGGAAGTGGCTCGATGGGAGGCAGCGGCACGGCAGCCCTTCAAACATGCGTCCCCGCTCTCCTGCTCCTGCTGACCCTTCTTTTCTTGAAACCCAACATTTTCACTTCCTCAGGGGCAGGGAGGCGTGAATAAATAAAAATAAAATCTGAAAAAGTAAAAGGTAGCCCAAGCGGTAGGCTGCGTCCCCGTATCCCTTGGCCCTCTGCCAATATCCCACAGTTCCACTGGACCATCTCTACTGAGTTCGGGTGTCTCATCTCTTCATTATTTCTCTCATGCATGTTGCCCAGGCTTGAGAAGGATTTCTTTAATACCAGAGAAGTCATGTGGAAATGAGACCCCAGTCGAGTGGTATAACTGTGGGAGTGACGACCGTCTCCGGTCCTGTCCTTCATCCCAAGATGAGCAGACTCCATTGAGTGAGTCGTGGCACTGCAGGAGAGAAGCAAGCGCCGCCTTCACTCCTGTGTCCTGCTCCTAAAATGTTGAACATCAAACAGAATTCTCCAGGCGCTAACTGAGCAGAGCACACAGGGAGGCAACCACCTTGCTTTTTCTAGAGACTGGCTTCCACCAAGGCAGCTGAAAAAATGGGCAGAGTACTGTATAAACAGAGGGTGCCTGCTCTGGAAGCTGTGAGGCTGGAACCCGAAGGGAAATGTTGCAATGGGTACAATTGTTACCCTGCATGTTTATGCCAATGATGTTATTGTCTTCATTTAGTCATCTTAAATTCAACCGTTAAGTCATTATTAGTAATTCTAATTTCTTGTTTAATTTCCATGCAAGGTACGACTTCCCTGTAAAATGCACAGATAGAGGCAGTGTTCTATATTTAGTGAGAGAGATATTATCTACAAATTACAGGGAAACAATTACATCAAGGTCCTCCATTGATGAAATAAACCACAAGAAAGAAATGAAGAGTAAGAGAGGAACACTGTGCTAAAAATGGTTAAGAACCAAAGCCAGTTGACTCTCCTCCATCTGATGATCCCTTTACCTCCACAAGTCTCCCCAGTGAATGAGAAGCATGGCCTTTGTGCCCTTCAGGATTAAGGGAACAGCACTAGCATCATAGCAGTTTCCTCTAGACCCTGAGAAAGCCATTGTCTTCTCTGCTGGACAGTGATGTCTCCAAACCACAAACCACCAGGGTAACTGGCTGTGTTCTTAGGAGAGACAAGAAGCAGGGCACAATGTCTCTTTGGGTGCCTAAAACCAGGCATCCAGAGAGAGCTTCCTGCCTTATACCCGGTCCAGTCTTTCACATTCTTTAAGAGGGAAACTCAGGTAGCATGCGGGAAAGGGACCTGCCCAGGGCTGGATGGCTGATGGAGCAGAGACTGCCCAGGTCCTCAGCGTCCCTGACATGTTCTTCCCTTTCAGAATAGGAAACTCTCTCTAAGTTTCTCCTAGCAGTTGGTGTCCCATAGAAACTTGATACAGCCTGCAGATGAGAACCCTTCTGGGAATTTCTTAGTAGCCACATTCAAAAAGAGTACAACGTAACAGTTGGAATTAATTTTAGTAATCTATTATAGTAATCTAATATTATTACTAATTTTAGTAATCTATTTTATATAATCTAATAGTATCCTTTCAACATGTATGTACTCAATCAAAGCAATGATTAATGAGATAGTTAGTGTTCTTTTTGGCACTAACCCCAGTGTGCATTTCATATTTCCTGCATGTCTCGGTGCAGACCAGCCCCCCTCAAATTTTCAATGGTCACATGTGGCCAGTGGCTATGGTGTTCAACTGTGAAGATGAGGACATACCTCTGGTCAGGAAGCACAGCCTGGGCTCCGATGCTGGTGCTGCTCCTGCTTACGGATGTGACTTTAGACATCGTCCTATCCTGCTGGAACCCAGGCTTCCTCAAGTCAAAAATGAGGGTACAAATACCTACTCCACTAACCTGTGAGGCCTACATAATCCCATAGAGTCCAAGATCCCCAGGAGGCATCTTTCTTGGTGCCTGGCACACAGAGGTATGCTGAACCCTATTGCTATTATTAAGAGTTGTGCCATTCATTGGGTAAAATTCTTTCTAGGGGTTCTAGGAAATACATCCTTTCTCAGATTTTCATCGGGGTAATTCAGGACCACATTCTGGTAGAGATCATCAGTTGTGAGTAACACAATTTGATGTTTGAAAAAACATGTATTGAAAACCTCCTGGGTAGCAGACATTGGGCTTGGATATGGGAGCTTGATGTTTAAAAAGACATGGTTCCTGGTGGTGAGGGAGACAGCATTTGGGAACTCCCTGTACTTTCTGCATAATTTTTCTGTGCGCCTAAAACTATTCTGAAAAATAGAGCCTATATATATTTTGAAAAGATGTGGTCCATCATTAGCCTGACTGTACCTTTGTACAAATTAGACAGAGGCACCTCTTTCTGAAACCAATTTTATTGCCAACAATCAGAAAGTTGTGCTAATAAATGTATATGTATTACATATATGTATATATTTATAAATACACATACAGCGACCACAATGTGAATGATGCTTCGGAATTGTGCAGCATAAAACCTTCACAACAGTGCACAGCAACCCTCTTTACCATCAGTCAACTGGAGGAAGCAGACACACAGTCTAACTGCTAGACTAACAGGCAGGATGAAACAGGTCCAATAACAGTGGGAAAAATGAGAAGGCAGAGGATAAAGAAGGAAATCAGCCCGGGAAGAAAAGTATATGGAAGAGGTGAAGAAAGAAAGGGGGGACTGAGGCGAATGGGGTGAAAGGCAGTGGTGGGTGTCACACTCCCGCTCTGCCACGTTTTGTTATTACTGCTTCCTGTGCACTGAGTATCTGTCGATGTACTCCTGGGCATGTCTCTGAGGACTGGGGATGCCCCTGGAGCCATGTGGTCTTGTGAAAGTAAGACATTGAGTTAAGCTTTCTAGCTCTGCTGGGACAACATTAGACCAAGAAATGGGTCTCTGCTCCGGTAGACGCATCACCACCATCTGAAACAGCTTTAAAACATGCTCTGCTCCCATAGAGAGAGAATGTCGTTGGCCCGCCAGCACGAGGGCTCCGGCAGGTTTGTTTCCCAGTGGTAGGAGACCCTTAGTTCATTCATGCCACCTCTTTTCCTAGATACTCATGGAAATATGTGCTTTGAGGATGGCTGACACCTGCTTGGTATCCACTGGTTTCAATGCCATGGCATTGGCCTTCTTACCCCTTTCACTAGACAAATAAGCTAAACTAGCCTCAGACCCACGCAGAGCTGCCACCTCTGTTCATTTCCCTGTGAGTCATCCTTAATGAGCTACAAAAACGCATGACCCAGGCAGCCATGCAGAAGCCAACACTAGAAATGCATGTCCTTCCCGCAGGGTGGTGCGGTGGGGGAAAGGAGAGTTCCGAATAAGCGCCTGCCTTTAACTTCCTGAAGTCAGGGTCAAATCCAGCAGCCACCTCAAACCACACCTTCACAGGAACAGTCATAGCTTTGCAAAGAACTGAGAAGAGACAGTTGTATGTGACCACATCCAGCAGAGGTTACACTCACATCCCAACCAACCCTGTAAAAAGACCACAGGAGAAAAGTCAGAGCGCCACACAACAGAACCAATGCAGCCTTGGCCAACTCATGGAGCATATCAGGAGATGTGGGCTTGGAGAGCCACATCTTTTTTCAATGTATATATAATTTCAACTTTTGCTTTAGAGCCAGGGGGTGCATGTGCAGGTTTGTTACATGGGTATATTGCCTGATGCTGAGGTTTGGGATACGTTGGATCCCATCACCCAGGTACTGAACATTTCACCCAATAAGTAGTTTTCAACCCTTACCCCACTCTCTCCCCGACCTAGTAGCCCCCAGTGTCTACTACTGCCAAAACAGTCAGATGTTGAAGATGGGTAGGAATCTCCATTTCCATTGTGCTTTTCCAGAAATATTCTATGTTCATGCTGCCTCTCAAGCTATATTGTTTGTGGTGACCGACATAAGTAACAAATAATCAAGAGCATCCATGGGAATGCTGCACACCAACAGCCAGACAAAGACTCCCTCCTCCAGACATCAGTGGTGAGTGGGCGGAGGAGAACCTGTTACATCTGCATGTTTGAATATTTCGTGAGCAAATAAACCTCCACCTAGGAAGATATGTGGATGGCAGATAGGCGCATGGAAGGCTGTTAAATGTCATTCATCATTTCAGAAATTCAAATTCAGTTACAAGGGGCTCTGCAGTCCTATTAGAATGGCTAAAACGGGAATGAAAACATCTGGCAATACCCAGTGTTGAAGAGGACACGGAACAACCAAAACTCTCATACGCGTTGCTGGCGAAAGTGAAAAATGGTAAACCAGTTTGGGAAACAGTTTGGTGGTTTCTTATTCAGTTAAACATATGCTTACCATCTGACCAAAAGATTCTGCTACTAGGCATCCCTTAACCAAGAAAGATGAAATCTTATCTTCACATAAGCATGAATTAATTTTCAATGCATTTAAGTGGAAGAAGCCAGACCCAACAAACTACCTACTGTAGGTTTCACTTATACGACATTCTGGAAAAGGCAAAAAATAGTAAGAACAGAGGAGAGATCAGGGAATACCAGGGGCTGAGGGTGGGAGGAGTCTGCCCCAGGGCAGCATGAGGAGGGACCCAACTGTTCAGCGCCATGCTTATGGTAGTGCTTATGGTAGTGCTTACCCAATTTGATGCACTGCACACCAGAAAGAGTGAATTTGGCCAGGTGCGGTAGCTCACGCCTGTAATCCCAGCACTTTGGGAGGCCAAGGTGGGCAGATCACCTGAGGTCGGGAGTTTGAGACCAGCCTAGCCAACCTGGTGAGACCCTGTCTCTACTAAAAAAAAAAAAAAAATACAAAACTTAGCCAGGCATGGTGGTACATGCCTATAGTCCCAGCTACTCAGAAGGCTGAGGCATGAGAATCGCTTGAACCCAAGAGGTGGAGGCTGCAGTGAGCTGAGATCACACCCCTGCACTCCAGCCTGGGCAGCAGAGCAAGACCGTTTGAAAAAATAAATAAATAAATAAAAAATAAATTTTACTGCACCTTTCTTTTTAAAAACAAAAAAAATAAAAACCCTACGTCAAAAGTAGGCATTTTAGTAGCTTCGGATCTGAGAAAAGTTGTTTTCCCACTGAGGAATGCCATAGTATTCTGTTTTTCAAGTACATAACGTTCCTAGAAGAGCCAAAATTAAACTTAAAAAAGAAAAACAAAAGAAAAAAAGAAGCTGATGTAATTGACAACTTTTATAGTCTCCTCGTTTCATTCAGGTCAGTAAAGGATCAGCAAAGAGAAGCAAACATTCAGCATGCCATGGCTGGGACCCTAAGCACCACACAGGCCAGGCTAGAAAGTGCCTCCTAGACCCAGCATGCTTTTGCTCACAGATGCGTAAGCTAAGGGCGTGTGAGCCGCAAAGTCGGGCCTGGGCTTCAGCCCTGCTACTGCGACTCTGCCGGGACAAAGGGAGGCACTGATCCCCACAGGCCATCCCAGACACTGATACATTTTTGACTTGCCAGCATCTTCGCTACCTTCTCTTTCATTTTCCTATAATCCCGTTTCCTTTCACAGCATGTTCCCTAGGTGAGGAACAGCAAGTACCTGTAGGTCTGGAACGAGGGCCCAGGGCCACGAAAACCAGCCATGGGATGGAACAGGAGGGAGAGAGGAGGGGATGGACATGGCTTCTGTGTCTGGGACCACACGCTTCATGTTTTTTCTTCCCTTGGCATTTCTGTCTTGGCACAAGGGAAGTTTCAAAACAGCAGGAGCGAAGTGTTTTCCAGCTATGGCCAGGCACCCCCAGCACTGAACACAAGAATGCTAAACAAAGTCCTATGGTCATTTTCCTTAGGCCCTCCCGCCCCCAGGCTTTCTCAGAGATTGTGGAACAATGGAGCCCATGATTTTAGGATGCAGCTCAGTCCCTGGAGGCACACAGGCATCCTCCCTCCACCTGTGTGTCCAGAATTGGCGGGTTCCTGGTTATCACTGACTTCTAGAACGAAACCACAAACCCTCGCGAGGAGTGTCACAGTTCTTAAAAGTGATGTTCCTGTTTCCAGTTTCTTTCTTCTGGTGAGTTCAGTTTCGCCGGCTCAAGAATGAAGCTTCAGACCTTCACAGTGAGCGTTACAGCTCTTAAGGCAGTGCCTCTGGTGGGTTTGTGATCTTACTGACTTCAGGAATGAAGCTGCAGACCTTTGTGGTGAGTGTTACAGCTCATAAAAGCAGTAGGGACCCAAACACTCAGCAGCAGCAAAACTTATTGCAAAGAAAGAAAGCACAAACTTCCTACTATGTGGAACCAACCCCGAGTGAGTTACCACTTTTGGTTCCTGCAGCCTGCTTTTATTCCCTTACCTGGCTCTCTCTCCCTGCTCCTCCCCCGCCATATCCTGCTGATTGGTCCATTTTACAGAGAGCTGATTGGCCCATTTTGACAGGGTGCTGATTGATGCGTTTACAATCCCTGAGCTAGAAACAAAAGTTCTCCAGGTCCCCACTAGATTAGCTAGATACAGCATGCCGATTGGTGTATTTATAAACCCTGAGCTAGACACAGAGTGCTGATTGGTGCATTTACAAACCTTGAGCTAGATACAGAGTGCCGATTGGTATATTCACAATCCGTTAGCTAGACATAAAGGTTCTCTAAGTCCCCACTAGACTCAGGAGCCCAGCTGGTTTCACCCACTGGATCCTTCAGAGAGGCCGTAGGTGGAGCTGCCTGCCAGTTCCGTGCTGTGCGCCCGCGCTCCTTAGCCCTTGGGCGGTCGATGGGACTGGCGCCCTGGAGCAGGGAGCGGGGCTCCTCCGGGAGGCTCGGGCTGTGCAGGAGCCCACCGCTGGGATTGGGGAGAGGCTCAGGCATGACTGGTTGCAGGTCCCGAGCCCTACCCTGCGGAGAGGCTGCTAAGGTCCGGCGAGAAATCGAGTACAGCAGCTGCTGGCCCAGGTGCTAAGCCCGTCACTGCCCGGGACTTGCGGGCCAACTGGCCACTCCGAGTGCGGGGCCCCCCGAGCCCACGCCCACCCGGAACTCGCGCTGGCCCGCAAGCGCCGCGCACAGTCCGGGTTCCCGCCTGCGCCTCTCCTTCCACACCTCCCCGCGCAAGCTGAGGGAGCCGGCTCTGGCCTTGGCCAGCCCAGAAAGGGGCTCCCACAGTGCAGCGGCGAGCCGAAGGGCTCCTCAAGCACAGCCAGAGTGGCCACCAAGGCTGAGGAGGCGCCGAGAGCGAGCGAGGGCTGTGAAGGCTGCCAGCACGGTGTCACTTCTCACCTGGGCCTGGAGCGGCATCTTACTCATTCTGTATTCTCAGGCACCAACAAATAGCTTGGGATGTCACGGATGACTCAGCTAGATGTGCTTAAAAATTAAATGCACGGTAACGGGGCTAGGACTGCCACCCCTGGCTCCACTTCTCAAAGGAAGGGAGCAAGAATTCTATCAGAGATACAAGGTGGCATTTTGGGGGACAGAGGTTAACTCAGGTGGACTATTTTCACTGAGCATTTGGATGACATACACTTGGGATAAACATTTTACCATTCCAATGAGAAGAACCCTAACTGCAGAGCTGGGAAGTAGTACAGGGAAGGAGCTCAGTACCCTGCGGCCCAGCAGGAATATGCCGGGCACTGTGTGTGCATGCTCCATCCATTCTTTACAAAGCGGCCTTGCGGTGCCTGAGACCCCTATGGGCAAGCTGAGCAGTGGAGGAAGACACAAGAAGAGGCAGCAGCCCACGAAGGGCAGCAGGAGGGCCACCGTGAGGGACGGAGCGCTGTGACTCATCTCTCCACCGACGCCCAGTTTTCATCTCTGCGGGCTTGATCAACTCAGCTTTCACGGGGAAAACGCCCAGGTCAAACACAGTTCTTCAGTTATTAGAAACACTGTGGTTTCCCCCAGTTCCCTGGTCTGAGCCACCGGCATGAACTGAACACAAGGCAATCCGCCAGCAAGCTGGTCTCATTTGTTTTTGATTAGGATGTGTTGGAATGGGAAAGAAATGTTTCTTTATCAGTTGAGGTATTAATAGACCGACGGAGGCCTACAGAGCTGCAGAGGCAGGATTTCGAGTCCAGGGGCTCCTCTGAGGCGTTGGCAGGGGCAGCGCATCAGCAGCCGTGACACTGCCCTCGCCGTGTGGCATCCTCTTGAGTTCCGTCCTTCAGCGCAGTTCCCTCCCAGGACAGGCCAAGCCTCATCTCATTCATGAGCTGGGAAGCTCCCATGGAAAGTCCACATCCTTTGGCCTCCGTGCCCAGCTCCAGGCCCAGGAGACGCCTGCTGCGCCAGCTGTGCTGCTATCTGGGCACGCATTGTGTGGTGGTCACAGATCTAAGTTTCTGTTTCTGGGATTCACAGGCAAACAGTCGCATCCATTTGCCACCACATACAAGTGCTGAACCAAACAACGCCTGCTGACTGGACTCTGAGTAATATCTGGCTGTTTCCCTAAATCAATTTCACTGGAAACAACTGTGAATGTTCAAGAGAATGTGTTTCATTCTGCTCTGGAATGAGTCCAGGAGAGAGCACCAGGGGTCTCAGCTAGGTGCAGGGAATAGAAAGATGAAGGAAGCACCAACATCAATTTTTTTATGTACACATAATATAAAAATGCACCATTTTAACCATTTTTACGTGCAGAGGTCGGTGGCACCAAGCACCTTTTCATGGTTGTGCAACCATCACCATCATCCTTCTCTAGGACGTTTTCATCTTCCCAAACTGAAGCTCTGTCTCCATTAAATACCAATTCCCCATTCCTCTTCCACCAGCCCCTGGCAGACACCATTCTGCTCTGTCTCTACGAATTGACTGCTGTAGGAGCCTCACAGAAGTGGAATCACACAGTGTTTTTTCCTTTTATGACCTGTTTATTCCATTTAGCAAATATCCTCAAGGTTCATGCATGTTGTAGCATGTGTTAGAATCCCCTTTTTTTTGCCATCTGAGTAACATTCCATCATATCATATCATTCCACATTTTGCTGGTCCATTCTTCTTTTGATGGACACTTGGGTTGCTTTCTTTTGACTCTTGTGAATAATGCCACGATGAACATGGGTGTGCAAATATGTAATGCTGCGATGAACATGGGTGTGCAAATGTCTCAAGGCCCTGCTTTCACTTCTTTTAGAATTCTACCCAGAAGTGGAGTTGCTGGACC
Organism: Homo sapiens; assembly: GCF_000001405.40. NCBI lineage: Eukaryota > Metazoa > Chordata > Mammalia > Primates > Hominidae > Homo > Homo sapiens. The sequence goes on from NC_000006.12 coordinate 438,005, forward strand.
AGGTAGTAATTCCGTGTCACTTTTGAAGACCACCATATTATTTTCTGCAGCAGCAGCTGACTTGACTTTTTTTAATGGAGACAGGAGACAGTTAACATGATGTTAACTGAACAGATCCCATGCCCAGCACAGGTATGTGCAACGGTGGCAGAGCCAGGACGGGAACTGGACTTCAGGCCTCACCAGGGCAGGCTTCTCCAGAGCTGCATCCTTAGCCAAATGCTGAAGGAGGCTGTATTTGCAGGGTGCACTGGTGAAAACAGGTGCTTGGCAGAAGCACCCAGCAGTGTGCACAGGGAGGGGCCCCTGCACTTGTGTCCCAGAAGCCCCCAGTCCTTGATAGTAAAGGCAGAGAAAACACCATTCTATGAAAGCTGCCACAATTTGAACCTGTTAAGCGTGAGAGAAGTCAGTCTTCTTTTAGGACAGAGTGGATTCTTTTTTCTTTTTGGCAAGTAGAGTAGATCTAGGAAAACTGGCTGAAGGGACACTGAGTTTTAGAAATGCAAAACAAAGGAGCTCAGCCTCCATGACTTCTGACTGCCACCAGGGCAGTAATCGCTGGAACACATACATGGCTGTCGTTTACTGGCTGGCATTAACTTACTGATTCATAAAAGAACTCCATGAGGGAAGTACTACGATCATCCCATTTTACAGACGTGGAACAGAGAGGTCAAATAAGTTACCCGTGGTCACCCAGCTTATAAGAGGGACGAGTTCCGCTCCAGATAGCCTGACTGCGCTTGATCTCATCTCTGCAGGGTGAAGAGTGCTGAAGAAGCAGACACCTGCCCTCTGTGGCTGGGGATACAAATAATAATAAACAAATGAGCATAAACATATAGGACGTACCACAGGGGGTGGCAGACTTTTTCTCTGAAGGGGTCAGCATGGCTCCATTGAGACTTTCTTTAGAGACACTGAGGTTTCCCTGGTGAGACGGCTGTCAGACGGGGCCGGTGGGCTGATTCCAGGCCTCATGCCTTCCCTTCTTGGCTTTGTGCTCATCTCTCTCTGATATCATTTCAGGAGTCTGCAAACGACGGACTGTGGTTCAAACCCAGCTCACTGCACATAATTTTTTTTCAGCCATTAACAACATGTGAAAAGTATTCTTACCTCCCAGGTATTTGATCTCATCATACATTTTTCATTGTCAGCAGCAGACCAAGAATTGCTCTGATGCCTTATAGGAACTTGTCTGTTCAAAGTGTACATGAAATAACTTTCAAATCATGCACTGACAGAAAGAATAGCATAATGGCCATGTATACTCATCACCAGCCCCAGCCTCATCTCATCTGTGACCTGCCCTTTGCCCCTCCCCTAGAATTATTTTGGAATAAATCCCAGACATTGTGCCAAGAAACAAATGACTCTTAAAAGACATATGTCTCAGAAAATTTTGTATGTCTCAGAATATTTAACATAAATATATCATACACATCAACTAAGGATTGTGTTAAATATCCATCATTTTGCTTTATTTAGATTCATCTGAATTTACCAGAAAGAAATCTTAGTATTTCCTGATATAAATGTACCAAATATATTCTACTAGTCTAGTTGCATTGAAACTCAGATTTTTCCGTGGATGTTCATTGTCCAAAAATATGGCCAAAAAGAAGAGCATCACGCAATACTAGAAAACATAGGAAATTTAAATTTCCCAGGAGAGCCCTACTGATTTGCTGATAGGGGTGTAACAAAATCACTCTCTGCCAGTGATGCTGTGAAAACTGGAGGAAGCCTAAGCAAAGGGTTTTGCAACAGCTCTTCTGGAAAGAGAGTTCCAACAGGATAGAGTCAGTGCAGCCACGTGCAAGGCAGCTGTGATCCAAGTCTTCCGTAGTAATTAACACTCTGTAATCTACCACCTATGGCTTGGGCGATAATGAAGTACCTGGCATTCATCCAGCACCTTCTCATGAGCGTGCTGCGTTCCCTTGCATCAGCTCACTGTGCATCTCTATTTCTATCACTTGCGGTTCACGGGACCAATCTTGTGATGGCCAACATTGTGATGGCCCTGGCAGCACAGGCACATTTGGCATTGAAGTATCCTGTTCCCTTTGCTGAGGTCCTTTCATATCACACTTGCCTGCTGAACTACCTTTATTCAAACCTCTGGCCAGTCAGAAAGTGGTCTTTGTCTTCTCGGGTTGAGGCTGGGGCTGGGCATGTCAGTAGGGTCTTGGAGAGTGATAGTCCAGCCCAGGATGCCACTCCTAGGCTGGGAGTTAAGGCTGGCGCTCGTCTGGGGAGTAGGCATCCCATCCCTTCCTCCCCGCTCCCTTCCCTTGCCCTCCTCTCCCTTCCCCTTTCCTTCTAATCCTATCCCATCCCTTCCATCCATCCCATCCCTTTCATCACATCCCATCCCATCCCAGCTCATCCCACCCTTCCCTTCCCGTTCCACCTGTCCCATCCTTTGCCTTCCCATCCCTTCCATTCCCATCCTATCCCATGCCATCCCCTCCCCTCCCATCCCTTCCCACCATTCTCTTCCATCTTCTCCCTTTCAATCTACCCCATCCTTCCCATCCCATTCTACCCCATTCCATTCCATTCCATATCATTCCTTACCATCCCTTCCATCTCATCCCATCCATCCCATTCCATCCGTTTCAACCCATCCCATCCACCCCATCCCATCCTTTCCATCTCTTCCATTTCCTTCCCTTCCATCCTCTCCCACCCATCCATCCCATCCATCCTATCCATCCCATCCCATCCCATCCCATCCCATCCCATCCCATCCCATCCCATCCCATCCCTTCCTACCCTGTCTCATCCCTTCCCATCCTATATCATCCCTTTCCGTCCCATCCCATCTCTTCCCTTACTGTCTATTCTCTTCCCATCCCTTACCTTCCAATCCCATCTCTTCCCTTTCAATCCCATCCTACTCCATCCCATCCCCTCCCATCCCTTCCCATCCATCCCATCTCCTCCCATCCCTTCCCATTCTACAGCTGCCTAGAGGAGTCAGCTCGTTATTTACGGCCAGTGGCACTGTCTTTACTCTTTGGCACGCCCCTCCCATCACTGAAGACAAAATCGATTTCCCTTTATAGAAAGCATGAGGTTTCACAAACTTTCTGGTGAGTTCTACTCCCCTGGCTTCTTTGCAGGAAAGCTCAGCCACATTACCGACTTCAACAGCTGAAATGTGAGAGGAAGTGACCCCATCACCTCCAGGCGGACACTTAAGAGCTGGCACATGGGTGATGGAGGCGCTGTCAGAGAAGCTCGAGGGCATTCGTACCCCTCTTCTGCAGCCCAGCCACTCCCCTGTCCTTGCCTTACACTACAGGACACTTGTGTGGAGTCTGTGGGCAGCTCCAGCTGCCAACACACCTCCCACCTCACCCCTGCTCAGGGCCCACCCTCAGGTGGGTTTCAAAGGGGAGCAGGCTGAGTGGAAGTGGAAGGCGGCTACTGCAGGCACCTCCCCTTGTGCTCTGGGAGCTGGGGCTGCCCACAGCCCTCCATTCCCACACCAAGACAAGTGCCCCAGGGGCCTTTCACAGGTGAAGGGTGGCCCATCTTGCCAGCTCACCCAGGACCCACAGAGGGGTCTCGGCACTTATTCTTCTGTCACCTCCCAAATCTCTCCTGCACCTCCAGCCTCAAGGAGAGTGGCCTCTTCAGTTCTCTCCACCATGCTTCCGGTGGCAGGACTGGCCTCTGGGAAAGGGCTGCCTCATCTGTCACCTCTTGTTTGGGTTGCAGGTGGGATGCAGGTTCAGAATCCATGGAGAAGACATGGCCTGTGTAATCGGCAGCTCTCCCAGGAGGGGCCGGGCTCAGGGACGTGTGTTAGGCTCAGAAGAGCGGGTGTTTCTGGTGCATACAACCCTCTGCACTGTCAATGTCCAAGCTCAGGGACCCACTCATGTGTCCTGCCTGTGTTCCCCCAGCCCCAGGTCAACCTCCACACGGAAGAGGCCTGGAGGGAGCCCTGGCCACAACCCTCAGGCTGGGGTGCATTAGAGTGGAGGACATAGGCCTGGCTTACTGGTATTTGGTGGCGGGGACCTCTATGATGGTGACACACTTCAGTGTCCCAGCCCCTCAGCAGCCCTGCTCGTCTGCAGCCCCCTCTGACCTCCCGCACTGACTCCACCATCCAGACACTTACTCATGATGGGGACAGCGGCAGAAGCTCCCCCAGACAATGCACTTAAATATTTGGGAACCTGTTTGTACATTCATTTCTTAAAATTCTCGGGGCAAACGTGGGTCACAAATTCACTGCACATTTTGTGAAATGTCCCTCTTCCATCCTTCATCTCCGTGTCCACTGCCACGGCCTCCTAATCGCAAGGAGAGCCATTTTTCTTCACGCTTCCTGACCAGACTCCTCCTGTCAAGTTAAGGTGGGGGAAATGCCGTGGCACCGTCCCTTCTCCTGCGCCATAATGGTTGCCTAAGGACCGCGGGACTAACCCTCAGCTCCAGAGGGAGGGGCTGCTTCACCTTGGAATGGCTGTTGAATGAAGGAAGGAGTGAAAATGTAGAAAATAATCTCTCATTGCACACTTCCTGACACAACAGATACTTTTACTTTTCGTTATTCCTTTCTAATTGTATTCATGCTTTTGACATGGCTATAGTCATCGTATAAATGCAATTGTATTGTCTAATTACAATAGAATAAACATTTTCCATGTTGCTACAGGGTATTCATAACATGTTTGAGGAGGATTAAGAGCCACATTTTTTTGTTTGTTTGTTTTGAGACGGAGTCTTGCCCTGTCGCCAGGCTGGAGTGCAGTAGAGCAATCTTGGCTCGCTGCAACCTCCGCACCCCGGGTTCAAGGGAGTCCCCTACTTCAGCCTCCCAAGTAGCTGGGACTACAGGCGCGTGCCACCATGCCTGGCTAATTTTTTTGTATTTTGGTAGAGACGGGGTTTCACCTTGTTGGCCAGGCTGGTCTCGAACTCCTGACCTCAGGTGATTCGCCCTCCTCAGCCTCCCAAAGTGCTGGGGTTACAGGCGGGAGCCACCGAGCCTGGCCAAGAGCCACATTTTATTACTTGTTTCTCCATTGTTGAAATTTAGGTTGGCCCCCTTAGATGTGTGCATGTATATTAATAATTATTTCCAAGGAATATGTTCTTAACAAGTGGAGTGAGTGGGTCAAGGGTGACCCTTTGAATAATTTTGTCTACATACTGTGGGTTTGCCTCCTTGAGGGCAGAGCCACCCTCACTGCAACCAGCACCTTTTCAGATACAGGCAACATCTCTGCAGGCCTCAGGTGTTCCCTTATAAACATTCTTCCTCCATTGAAGTGGTGTTGAATGGCTCTCATTAGTGTCTTAATTTATTTTTATTTTTGGACTGTTTTTCACGTCTGCCTTCCCTGTTCTAAGAATGATAATAATGCAATAATCACTACTACTATTGCTACTACTTGAAAATGCCCTGGCTGCTTTGGAACTATCTAAATATCTCCCTTGAGCCTCAAAACAACTGTGTGGGGGTACGTGGGGGAAGATATTCATTAACTACAGGTGGGAAGCTATTGCCCAAACAAGAAGCCAAGACGAGCACCCAACTCCTCTGGTACTGTGTTCACTGGTCTTGTAAAACATTGTCAAGGTAATGACATCTGTGGTAAAATATCAAAGAACACAGCAAGGCTTTGAATAGGAAGAAGAAGCCCCAGGCACTCCTTCCCCAGAGCGGCACCTGGCTCCCTCCACCTGTGCGTCTGCAGGTGCTTCCACCCAGGACTGTGGACCCAGGACTGCCTCCACCCAGGACTCCACCCAAGACTGTGCGCCCTGTGCCCCGGGTTGCTGATTGTCTTACCTACTGACTTCCTCAGTGAGTGCGGGAGTTTGCCTTCGAGAGCCGTCTACCCTCCCACGCCCCGATGGTGACAGTGCTGTCCCCAGCTGTCCTGCTGGCTGTCCCTCCGTGGCATCCCCCCTTCCTTTCCCGCAGGCCCCCTCTCTCTTCCGCTTAGCCACAGGGTCACTCTCTGGGGCGAAACTGCAATACGCCTATGGTCGTCTGTGATCAAATTGCAGCTGATGATGTGGGCTTTGCTTGGCGACCATAACCGAGTCTTCTGCGCTTTGTCTGCCCTACAGGCTGAGAGCCAATGGGGAGGCCACGTCCCTGAAGCACCAGGAAACTCTTCCCCGCGGAGCCAAGGGGCGCTGGGTGGCCTTCCCTTCCTCGTACAGCTTTTTGCTTTTCCTAGAGTTTCTAACCCACTAACTGGGGGCCCAAAGTAAAGCAGAGAAGTGGGGAAAAGGAACCAAGGGAGGGAAGAAGAGCTCCAAAATGCTGTTCAAAAGCCAACACGGTGAAACCTCATCTCTACTAAAAATACAAAAATCGGCTGGATGTGGTGGCACATGCCTGTAGTCCCAGATACTCAGGGGGCTGAGGCAGGAGAATCGCTTGAACCTGGGAGGCGAAGGTTGCAGGGAGCAGAGATTGCACCACTGCACTCCAGCCTGGGCAACAAAGCGACGCTCCGTCTCAAGAAACAACAACAACAAAACAACAACAACAACAAAGAACATCTTCCCATTAGCACTGGAGCAGCCTCCTTGGAGCATAGAATGCGGTGCGGGCGGGCTCTGCACTATTCACCTTCCCCTGCACGCCCTTGTCTCCTGAGTGCCGTGGTGGGATCTTTGTGGCTTTGTTCCAAGTTGTGCCACTGATCGGCTGGGTGCCTGGGGCACCTCAGTTTTCATCATCTGTGAAGTGGGGGTGCAGCAGCACATGGCTCACAAAGCTGGGGTGGGCATCGCGTGAATTACACAGGTGGATGCGGACAGCAATGTGGGCCCCGGGTCCCAGCTTACTAAGGGGAGTCCCCTTGCAGCAGATGAGTCCTGAGGCCTTTCGTGCTTTTGTCCACTGGACAAGCCCTCCTCAGGGACCAAGGTGTGGCCCCGGGAGCAAGCCTGGCACCGAGGGGGCCCCTGCAGGGAGGGACAGCAGGCGTAGGGCCTTGAGGAGCTCCAGAGGACGCCGCACGGCAGGCTTTAGGCAAATGCGTGGTGAATGAATTTGATGACAGCTCAGCATGTACTGAATGGATGTTGAGTGTGTTTGAAATCAAAGACCAAACCACAACACTGGGGAGGAAGCGAGTGGATGGTGCCAGGGAGGGCAGGGCGTGGTGTGGAGGGAGAACGGCTGGGCCAGGCGAGGGGGACTCACAAACATGGGTTGTGCTGAGCTCTCAGAGCTGCTCTTGCTTTTCAGATGGCAACAGTGGTGGCATTTGCTTTTGTCTTCCTCCAGCCTTTAGGGGTTTGAAGTGATAGTTTAGGGGATTCATCAGGATGGCTGTAAACAAGCAGAGGGAGGCAGGGCACACCTCCAAGACATGCTCTCTGGCACTTCTGGTTTCCTGGGTTTTTAGCTTTGCTGTCATGCAGTGGAGTCTCTGGAACCAAAACAGGTAACAGGATTGAAGACTCTGCTTAGGGCCCTGGTTTGGGCCTTTCCAGAAACCATCATAGGAACTGTTCAAGAAATGGTTACCAGGGAAATGCAGGCACAGTGGCACTCAGGCCCCTGGAAAAATGGGTTGATTGCAACAGAAATATCTTTCTCGAAGTGCAGCCCTGTTATAGTCAGAGGTTCGGGTAGGAAAAAGCAGGGGCACTGGTGAGTCAGAGGCACGGAAGATGGATCCCAGAGTGGAGGAGCCCCCAGTGGGGCAGCTAGGGAATCTGGGAGGTGGGGGGACAGGGGGCGGTCACTCTGTCTCCGGCCCATGATGGGCTGTTTCTGTGAAGCTCTAGAGCCCATGACTCCAGGTCACCAGTGTCACAGGAAGCTTGGGGCCAGAGTGGGTCTCTGAGAGTCATGCTGAAAGCTAGATGTGGTCTTACTGTGTCCACTCCTCTAGGAGAAGACACTGCAATTTCCAAATGAAGCAATGCTCATCCTATGTGCTGGTGATGTGAAAATACTGGGGTCACTGTGGGCTTTCAGGAAGTGCCTAGGTGGGGCTGGAGGCTGTGGTGAACAGAAGGGGCGGGGTGGCCGGGCAGGAGGACTGAGGGACAAAGCTAGGAGAGGGAACTGGGCAGCCAGCCTGGTGGGGATCTCAGAGCTGCCACCCTGCCCAGCGTGGCACAGCCATCTCTGCCCTGAGCTCGGCTGCTTCTCCTGAGTCCAGCTGTGACCTAGCAGGAAGCCCCTCGGCTTGTCTGCTAGGGGTCCTGGCTCAGTGCTGAGTCACACTTTTTATGGAAATATCAGGTGCCTGTCCCTCACACTTCTTGTTGCTTCCTCAGGCCCAGGACCTGCCCACCTACCTGCATGCCCGCCTGGTGGACCTGTCCCTCCCCCAGCCCAACCTGGCTCCCTGGAAGGATGAGAAGCAGTAGGGGAGATGAGGCAAAAGCTGGGGCAGCCCCTGCAGGGGAAGTTGAGGCAGGGATCATCTATTCACACGCAAAAGGGATGCTGTACGGGGTGCTGGGGTCCCACATAGAGAAGTTCTAGCTGCAGTGCTGGGCAGCCCTGGAGCAGCAGAACTCAGCAGTGCAAGGCGGCTGCTCAGAGCGGCCACGATAAGAAGGCGCAGGTCTGTCCCCTCCCCCGGCGCCTGCTGCTCCCTGCCTCTGCCTCCCTGTCCAGCTTCTGCTCATGCTTCAGGGTCGCTGATGTGGATCCAAACAGCCACACAGAGGAGTCTCTTCAGTGGGGGGTGCTGGGGGGTGTCACTGGGAATGTGGACTGCAGGTGAGCACACCCCACTAACCTCATTTAACCTATTTAGTGTCTTATGCAATTTAAGAAAAACCAAAAACCAAACAACAACAGCAAAAAAACCCCACACCAACCCACAGTCTTTGAAAGGGTTGGGTTCCACCAGGAGACTCAGGCGTCTTAGTGGAAAGAATGATCTGGGCTCTGGCTGGGATGGCACAGGCAGCTGGGGGGCGGTGCCCGCCGCCGGGAGGCGTGGGCCTGACTCAGTGGAAGGAAGTGGTGTGTTTCCATTGCAGAGCTCAAAAACAAGGTGGTTTGAGGAACGCTTGTGTGTCACCGGCATTTCCCTGTTGTGTTTATGAAGTGAGGTGGGAATCAAGCTCTGGGGTTACTCTAATTGTGTCTTTTACAAGAAACCAAGAAGCCCCCATGGAACACAGGCAGGGGCTGAGGCGGCCGGGAGGGGCTGGGGAAACCCAGGCGCAAGCGCGCTGGGCTGGGAGGACGGGGCCGGCCACCTCACCCGGCTCTCCAGCACCCCATTTTAAGGATGGGACCACCCTCTGCCAGCCTGCCTCTTCCCAGCGCATGTCCTGACCTCCCCGAACTGCTTCCTTTTCTAGACGCTGTGTGGGTGCAAACAGCAGGTGCTCATGGATGGCACGGATGACAAACAGCAGGTGCTCATGGGTGGCACCGCATGTCCAGGCCAGGGAGAGGCTGCGGGGCTGGGAGGGCGGGGCTCATAAGATGGACGTGCACACAGCAGTCGGGTGAGCCTCCGGTGCCCCTGGAAGCCTGCTGACCACGCAGCGCGCAGCATTGCCCCTCCCTAGCTGAGGCCATGGGGGCGGGGGATGCGGGCTTTTACTGGCGTGGCAATTCTGTCTTCTGAGGTCACTCACAGTTTCCCCCTGGTGAGGCGAGCACTGTGCTGAGGAGCGTTCCACCATGCAGTACAGGAGAGCAGTGGTCTGCATGATGGATCCTGCACAATGAGAAAGCCAGGCAGCCTCCCGAAAGGAAGTGCCGGCGAGGGATCCAGATGCAAACAGCCCAGGCCGCAGGGCTGGTCCCTCTCTCCTCCACAGGAATTTCCAATGCAGGCCGCCCCACAGAGTAAGCATCCCTTGAAGTAATGTTTCAGGGGCTCATTTCTGTATTTAAGGGAGGGAGGGAGAACGAGCCAGAGGAAGGGCTGCACCGAGCGCCGCAGTGGAGAGGAAGCGGTGAGACCAACGTTCCACTCACCTGTCTGGGCTGCCATCGGACAGCAAAACAATGGGAGAAAAAATCCCCACGTTTTCACAAGGAGGTTTACTGGAAAATCATCTAATAAACAGGCTCGTAAGCACAAGCACAGCAATCTCGAAACCACCTTCTCATCATTCAGATGTTGCTTTCAGAATTGCCTCCTTCCTCCAGGCCACTGCCATGGAGGCCTGGCACTGAGTCCCCCCGGGAGGTCCTGTGGCTCCACTCGAGGCTGTGACATTATAATCTGTTATGGGCTGACTGTGTCCCCCTCCAAACTCATATGTTGAAGTCCTAACCCCCATGCTATGGTTTGAAGATTTGTCCCCACAAAACTCATGTTGAAAAGTAATCCTCAGTGTGGAAGTCTTGAGAGGTGGGGCCTTTAATAGATGGTTTATGCATTAATGGGCTAATGGATTTAATGGTTTATCATGCTATTGGGACTGGTGGCTTTATAGGAAGAGGAAGAGAGACGTGAGCCGGCATGCTCAGCATCCTCACCATGTGATGCCCTGCGCTGCCAGGACTCTGCAGAATCCCCACCAGCAAGAAGGCCCTCACCAGATGCAGCCCCACCCCGCGATCTTGGACTTCCCAGCCTCCATAACTTCAAGAAATAAATTCCTTTTCTTTATAGATTGCCCAGTTTCTGATATTCTGTTATAAGTGACAGAGAATGGATGAAGACGCTTCTTGTACCTCAAAGTGACTGCATTTAGAGACAGGGCCTTTAGAAAGAGAATTGAGTTAAAATGAGGTCTTCAGGGTGAGCCCTAAACTAACATGAGTGGTGCTCCTTTAAGAAGAGGAGAGAGCGCAGACACACAGAGGGAGGCCCCCGCGAGGCTACAGGGAGAAGACACCATCTGCAAACCAAGGAGAGGTCTCCAGAGAAGCCAGCCCTGCCACACGTGGCTCAAAGCCGTCTGCCCTCCAGGACTGTGAGAGAACAAACGTGTGTTGCTGAAGCCCGGAGTGCACGCCCAGCGCGTGGTGCTCGTTAAGGCAATCAGAGCAAAGTGACCCAGCACCCTTCTAGAGAAATGGTTTCATATCGAAGCTTGGAAGTCACCGAGCCCCCTGATTTTATAACTGAGGAAATGGAGGCACCCCGTGTTGGGTCCCACAGCTCACCAGCTCAGCCAGTGTTCCCTGAGCCTGGCGCTGGCGGGCCCTGGGCACCGCGATGGGTGGGGGCCGGGCCTGTCCTCTCGGGCTGTTTGGCTCAGGAGTCACACAGGCCCTAAGCATGGGGATGCGGTTCCAGGCGCCGGCAGGTGCCACAGAGGAATCCAGTGGGTGTGTGAGGACTTCTCACTGATCCCCAGAGGCAGGGAGGTGGCGGCTGGGACCCCAGGGAGCAAGGTGGAGCCCAGCAGAAGGGAGTACGAGGAATTTCCAAGTAAGGGACCACTGGCTCACCTGGAGGGAAAGGCAGGACCCAGAGCCCCAGGAGGCCGCTGCAGGCTCAGATGAGAACGGAGGGCTGCAGCCAGCACATTCTGGATGGACTTTAAGGTAGAGTTAATGAAGCTGGTCAATAGATTCGGTGTGGGGGCGAGAGGGAAAGACAAGAGGCAAGAAGGACCCCAAGAGTCCAGGGGAAGCTGAGGCTGGAGACGGGAAGCCTGGGCGTGGCCAGCGCGGACATGGCCCCAATCCCCTGGCCTGCCTGAGACCCTGTGATCGAGAACTGCTGCGATCCCAGGATGGGCTCTGGGGCACCCAAGGGATGAGTTAGGAGGTGAAAGGAACTCAGAGTCCAAGAAACCGGGAGGGGCTGCGTTTCGAGGAGCGAGGGCTCAGCTACTTATTTGCTGCTGAGGTCTTGAGTGACATGGGTGAGAGGTGACAGCGTGCTCGCAGCCCTCCCTCGCTCTTGGTAACTTCTCGGCCTCGGCGCCCATTCTGGCCACGCTTGAGGAGCCCTTCAGCCCACCGCTGCACCGTGGGAGCCCCTCTCTGGGCTGGCGGAGGCCGGCGCTGGCTCCCTCGGCTTGCAGGGAGGTGTGAAGGGAGAGGCACGGGCGGGAACCGGGGCTACGCGCGGCGCTTGCAGGCCAGCTACAGTTCCGGGTGGGCGTGGGCTTGGCTGGCCCTGCACTCGGAGCGGCCGCGTGGCCGGCCCCAGGCAGTGAGGGGCTTACCACACGGGCCAGCAACTGCGGAGGGTGCGCCACGTCCCCCAGCAGTGCCGGCCCACCAGCGCTGCGCTCGATTTCTCGCCCGGGTTGCAGGGCAGGGCTCGGGACCTGCAACCCGCCATGCCTGAGTCTCCCCACTGTGTCCTGGGCTCCCGCGTGGCCTGAGCCTCCCCGACGAGCGCTGCCCCCTGCTCCACGGCTCCCGGTCCCATCAACCACCCAGGGGCTGAGGAGTGCGGGCACACGGCGCAAGACTGTTAAGTAGCTCCACCTGCGGCCCCAGTGTGAGATCCACTGGGTGAAGCCACCTGGACTCCTGAGTCTAGGGGGGACTTGGAGAACGTTTATGTCTAGCTGAGGGATCGTGAATGCACCAATCGTCACTATGTATCTAGCTCAAGGTTTGTAAACACACCAATCAGCACCCTGTGTCCAGCTCAGGGTTTGTGAATGCACCAATGGGCACTCCGTATCTAGTTAATCTGGTGGGGACTTGGAGAATCTTTATGTCTAGCTAAGGGATTGTGAATGCACCAATCGGCACTCTGTATATAGCTCAAGATTTGTAAATGCACCAATCAGCACTCTGTGTCTGGCTCAGGGTTTGTAAATACACCAATGGACACTCTGTATCTAGCTAATCTAGTGGGGACCTGGAGAACTTTTGTGTCTAGCTCTGGGATTGTAAGCACACCAATCAGCACCCTGTCAAAACGGACCAATCAGCTCTCTGTAAAACAGACCAATCGGCTCTCTGTAAAATGGACCAATCAGCAGGATGTGGGTGGGGGGGCCAGATAAGAGAATAAAAGCGGGCTGCCCGGGCCAACGGTAGTAACGTGCTCTGGTCTATTTCTATGCTGTTGAAACTTTGTTTTTTTTTTTTTTTTTTTTTTTTTTTTTTTTTTTTTTGCTTTTTGCCAAAAATTTTATTGTTTAGTGTTTGGGTCCATACTGCTTTTATGAGTTGTAATACTCACCCCAAAGGTTTGCAGCTTCGTATTTGAAGCTAGAGGCCCCGGATGTATTGGCAGGAACAAACAACTCCAGGTGTGTTGCCTTAAGAACTCTAACACTCACCACGGAGGTTTGTAGCTTCACTCGTGAACCAGCGATACCATGAACCCCCCAGAAGGCAGAAATTGCTAACATATCTGCATATAGGAAGGAACAAACGGGGCGCGCTCCCGCACACGCCGCCTTTAAGAAGCTGCACCATTCTCTGCAAGGGTCCACTGCTTTATTCTGTGAGTAAGACTAAGAACCCAGTAATGGCGGACACGTGGGGATTCAGAGGAGCGCAGGACGGATTCTGAATGCTGTTGCTCGGGAAGCTGAAGATGTGCACACAGGGCTTCTCCGCAGTAAGGGGCTTGGTCCCTGAACCATGCTCCGTTTCTTAACTGTTCCCAGGACCCAGCGTCTGTTCACCCCATGGGGCCACGCCATTCCAGGAGCCACAGGAAGCCAGCACTGCTAGGTTGACCTCAGTCCTTTAGCCAGGACACAGCTGTGGGCACTATGCGGTTGCCGCTGGGTTCAAGGTAGGACCTTCTTCACGTATAAAGGGAGAAAAAGTGAAGGAATGGTTCCTTTTTCCAACTACTGATTTCTCCTCTGCTTGTGGTAGCTGTGTGGGGATAGTAAGGGGATCGTTTTAAGAAAAACCTACAAGGTGGGCATGGCAGTGTTCTGGGTCCCTGATGTCACTGGGTCGCTTGTAATCAATCTCCAGCCTTCAGCCTGGGGCTGAAGTAATAAGAAATGCCACCGCTTCTCTGACATATCCATGTCTGAGGTTTTGATTTGCTTTTGGCAAACAGGCACAGAAGTTTTAAGTTCAGCCTAGGAAAGTCTCTGCTTGTTCCAGAGTGTTCCAGAGTCAGTTCCAGGTAGTAGTAGGGTAAACAGGCTTGGGGGTGTGCGGACGAGGCCAGGAGCCAAGATGTCATTCGGGGATGGCCAAGCTGTAGGCGCAAGGCAGCCCTGACTATGGGGCTGGAGTGCGTCCGTGATGAGGTGGTGTGCCTGGCAACTTGCAGGTGCTTTTGGGAGGACCTGGGGCAAATTCTTTAGTTCTTCCATGGCTGTTTCCACAAATGTGAAATGGCGATAATAGAGCCCACCTCAGATTAAATAGATTCCCATGTGTAAGGCAGTCATGGTGCTGGGTGTCAAATGTGCTACATTATAACTGACCTGTGGCCATTTCTTTTTTTTCTTGAAAGAAATTAAAAATAGCTATAATTTAATGAACACATGAATGGTTGGGCATTACACAATATGCTGGATAAATGTTGCTTAAATTCACCCAGCTTGGTCTCACTTTCTGAGGCTTCCTACCATTTTTGAACTATCCCAAATGCCTTTGTCCTGAGCCAGTTTCCCCAGAGACTCGAAGCATCTGACACTAAAAGTCATGTAGCTCAGCTTCAATGAATGCACAAATGCGCCAGCCAGCATCCCAGGAGATGACTGCTACAGCCAGGGCTGAACACCTAGTGGGCCTCCCATCCTGGAATGGGAAGGGCCAGGGGAAAGGACTCTGAGAACACAGGGGGCTACTGCGTTACGAAGCAAAACCTTTAGTGGAAGGGATGGCAGTGCTACCAATGGAACTGAGCAGTGTGTCTGCTCCAGCATGGAGTGCCCCCCTCCCCTCCTTGGGTGCACCTGCGTGTGTCCTCCTTGTCTCTCCATGTGGTTGACCTGGGGAGAAGAACCTACAGCTGCTCTCGGCACGACTCCAGGGGAGCTGGGAGACAGACACACAAGCTCACTCAAGGAAACAGCAGGAAGCCATAGCCTGCTACGGTGAAAGTCCATGTGGGGTCCTGGCCAGATCCCAGGGACCTGGGGATGTTGGCAAGGCAAGGGTGCCTTTTTCTGAGCAGTGCTTTTGGTGAACTTAGCATCCTCATCACCTGGGTCCCTTGTCAGTTACAATTAACGTGTGCGATCTGGATTTCCAATAACTCCCAGCATTTCTGCAGTCGTTACTGGTCTGCTAAGAAATCTCTGAGGACTCTCTGTGGCTCACTGAATTAAATGCAGCTTTTGATGGGATTTTGGAACTGGTGACACAGCTGCCTCTGGCAAGGATCAGACACACGGCCAGCTGCCCTTTGCACACAGAGCCCTGAGCCACGGTCTGCGTGTGAGCCTGACTCGTTTCTGGCACAGACTCACCCTGTGATGCTCCGGGGGCCAGCTGGGAATGCCGCTGCTGCCTCTTTCAGGAGGCCAGCCCCCAGCGCTGCCTCCACGGGCCAGTAGGGCAGGGACGCTGATGAGTGCCCGTTCTTGCTTCTCAAGCTCTTAAGGCAACAATTCCATTACCATCGCTAGTTCTCGCTCCAGCACAGGGAGGACGGAATGGCTCTGCCTGTCATCAGATGAGGGGAGTCCACTCAGGGCTGTTAGTCCTTTAGCAAAGGCCACAGATGGGTGAGCAGCAGAAACGACATGGGAGCTGAGGCCGGGACCCACAGCCAACGTGCTTTTGCTCCATCAATTGAGATGATCAGTTTTTCTTTTTTAAAAAAATCTTTTCAGAAGATGAATTACATTCGTTAATTTTCAAACGTTGAACCAACCTTTCACTTCTGGGGTAAGCCACACTTGGTCATGCTTTTTACCCTTTTTGTGTATCGCTGGATTCTGCTTGGCAACATTGTATCAAACCCTTACCATCTATGTTCATCAGTGTCACTGGTCAGTAGTTTGCTTTTCTCATAATGTCTGTATCTGGTTTTGGCATTAGGGAAACGCAGGAATTAGAAAAAGAATTGGAAAGAGTTTGCTCCTATATGCTAAGAGAGTCCTATATTGTAAAATAATTATTCTTTAAATATTTAGTAGAATTCAGTAGTGAAGACATCTAGGCCTGGAGCTTTTGTTTTGAGAAGATTTTAAACTGTGAAGTCAGTTTCTTCAATACAAAAATATTTGGGTTATCTAAATCTTCCTGAGTGAGCTTTGGTAGTTTGTATTTGCAAGTTTGTCCATTTCATCCATGATACCAAATTTCTTGGCATAGTGTTGTTCATAACACCCTCATAATGTCGGTAGGCTTTCAGCCCAGATATCAGCAACTTGTGTCTTTTTTTTTTCTACATCACTCTAAGGATTTATCAATTTTATTGATTTTTTTCAAAGAATTTGATTTTGGTTTTATAGATTCTTTTTCTTTGGCTTTTCTCGTTTTCAGTTTGATTCCTTTCTGCTCTCATACTATTTCCTTCCTTGCACTTACTCTGGATTTAATTTGTTCTCCTTGTCCTCTTTTCTTAAGGTGGAAGGTTCGTGTGTTGATTGGAGACTTTTTTTGTTTTCTAGTGAAAGCATTTAATGACGTTCATTTTCCTTTCAGCACTGCCTTAGATTGCCCCATAATTTTTGATACATTGTATTATCTCATTCATTTCAAAATATTTTCTAAGTTATCTTGTGATTTCTTTTTTGACCCATGGGATATTTAGAAGTGTGTTTAATTTCCAAATACTTGGGAATTTTCCAGATAACTTTCTGTTTGTTATTTCTACTTTAATTCTGTTGTAGCCAGAGAACATACTTTATATGAGTTCGGTTCTTTTAAAGTTGGGTAAGATTTATTTAATAGATGAGCAAATGTTTTATGGTCTATCTTGGTGAATGTTCCATGTGCATTTGAAAATAATGTGAATTATGCCATGTGGCAGAGCATATACATGTCAATTAAGTGAAGCTGGTTGATAGTATCACTCAGCTTTTCTATGCAGTAAGTCCTCAATGTCCTTGATAGGTTCTTGGAAATTGTAAGTGAAACAACATATAATGAAACCAGTTGGATCCCAGGCTAATTGATATAAACAAGGGTTAAGTTCCTATGGCATATTCCTGGTCACAAAAACAGCACCAAATTTCTACATAAAGACCCCGCACACTTCTAATACAAAGCATTGAAGTAAATGGGAGCCATACATACATTCAGAAAGATTAATACAAACAAGTAAGATGACTATTAACCCGATTTCTGGTGAGTCAGTGAGGGACGGCAGCTGTGGTGGTGGTGAGTGGTGCAGGGAGGAAGGCTTAGTCTTCATGTCTGGTGACAGGCGAAGGTGAATCGTCTGACAGCCACCCCTCACCTGTCCAGCCTCAAAGCTCTTTATCACTTGTGTTTTTGTTTCAAATGTCACACTTTCTGCTTTTTAGTGGCCACAGACCTCAGGGGAGCACGGTGTACCCTTAGCACTCACTGCAACAGGGTACATCAAGGAATACATGTTTGAAAGTGAGAAGTGTAGGAAGCACCCCATCACTGCGAGTTCAAAAACAGACAAGATCAAATATGTTGGGCTTGTCGAGCACTTCCTTACCGCTTTCATTGTCATGCATTTGTATGCTTATCGTATACGTCACAAATTTTTATTTTACAATAAATTGTATTCTTTTTTGTTTTTGTTTTTTTGTTTTTTTGGAGATGAAGTCTTGCTCTGTTACCCAGGCTGGAGTGCAGTGGCGCGATCTCGGCTCACTGCAACCTCTGCCTCTCTGGTTCAAGCGATTCTCCTGCCTCAGCCTCCCGAATTGCTGGGACTACAGGCACGTGCTACCATGCCCGGCTAATTTGTTGTATTTTTAGTAGAGACAGGGTTTCACTGTTAGCCAGGATGGTCTCGATCTCCTGACCTCCTGATCCACTCCCCTCAGCCTCCCAAAGTGCTGGGATTACAGGCGTGAGCCACCGCGCCCATCCTCATTCATTCTTTTCTAATGCATTCATTCCAGTTAACGGTTGTGGGTGTCCCAGCAGCTCGGGGCACTAGGCAGGAACCAACCCTGGTGAGGATGCCATGCCATCACAGGCACGCTCACACCCACACCCACAATCACCCAGACAGGGACTGTGGCATAGGGAATAGGGACAGGCACGCCAGTTCACATAATGTGCACATCTTTGGGATGTGGGAGAAAACCAAAGCACCTGGAGAAAACCCATGCAGATGTGAGAACATGCAACCTCCACACAGTGACTGTGGGCAGCAATTGGTTTCTTTTAATGGATGGATTTTTCTCAGTAACGGGGTGCAAGCTGTTGGTGGATCTACCATTCCATGGTCTAAAGAACAGTAGTCCTCTTTTCAAAGCGCCACTAGGCAGTGCCCCAGTGGGGACTGTGGGGGCTCCAACCCCACATTTCCCTTTTGCACTGCCCTGGTAGAGGTTCTCTGTGAAGGCTTTGCCCCTGCAGCAGGCTTCTCTCTGGACGTCCAGGCTTTTCCAAACATTCTCTGACATCTAGGTGGCGGCTCCTAAGCCTCAACTCTTGCACTCTGTACACCCGCAGGC
The DNA here is from genome assembly GCF_000001405.40 of Homo sapiens. Classification (NCBI taxonomy): domain Eukaryota; kingdom Metazoa; phylum Chordata; class Mammalia; order Primates; family Hominidae; genus Homo; species Homo sapiens. The sequence continues at coordinate 456,449 of NC_000006.12, forward strand.
TTAATCCCACATGGAAGCCACCAAAGTTTACAGCTTGCACCCTCTGAAGCAGTGGCCCAAGCTATACCTGGGCCCCTTTGAGCCACAGCTGGAACTGGAGTGGCAGGGATGCAGGGAGCAGTCTCTGGAGGTTGCACAGGGAAGTGGGGCCTGGAGCCTGGCCCATGAAACCATTCAGTTCTCCTAGGCCTCAGGGCCTATGATGGGAGGGGCTGCCTTGAAGGTCTGTGAAATGCCTTCCAGGCCTTTTCCCCATTGTCTTGGCTATCAGCACTTGCCTTTCTTTTAATTATGCAAATTTCTCCAGCAGATGGTTGCTCAGCACCCCATTTGAATTCTTCCCCTGAAAACTGGCCTTTGCTTTTCTACCACATGGCCAGGCTGCGGATTTTCCAAACTTTTATGCTGTTTCCCTTTCGGATGTAAGTTCTAACTTAATTCTTTACTTCTGCATCCGAGTGTAAGTTGTTAGAAACACCCAGGTCACTTCTTGACACTTTGCTACTTAGAAATTTCTTCTGCCAGATACCCTAGGTCATCACTCTGAAGTTCAAATGTCCACAGATCCCGAGGGCATGGACACAATCCAGCTATGCTCCTAGCTAAGGCATAACAAAAGTGACCTTTGCTGTAGTTCCCCATAAGTTTCTCACTTCCATCTGGGAACTCCTCAGCTTGGCCTTCACGGTCCATATATCACTGTCACCATATAGGTCACAAACATTCAACCAGTCTCTAGGAAGTTTCAAACTTCCCCCATCTTCCTGTCTTCTGAGCCCTCCAAACTCTTCCAACCTCTGCCCGTCACCCAGTTCCAAGGCTGCTTTCACATTTTCAGGTATCTTTATAGCAATGTCCTACTCCGTGGTACCAATTTTCTGTTAGTCCATTCTCACGTTGCTATAAAGAAATACCTGAGACTGGCTAATTTATGAAGACAAGAGATCTGATTGGCTCACAGTTTTGCAGGCTGACAGGAAGCATGATGCTGACATCTGCTCAGATTCTGGGGATGCCTCAAGAAGGTTGCAATCATGCCAGAAGGTGAAGAGGGAGCAGGCATGTCACATGCCAAAAGCAGGAGACAGAGAAAGAGTGGGAGGATGCCACATTTTTAAACAACTACGTCTCACAAGAACTCACTATCACAGAAACAACATCAAGTGGATGGTGCCACACCATCATGAGAAATCTACCCCCACGATCCAGTCACCTCCCACCAATCCCCACCTCCAATACTGGGGTTTACGATTCAACATGAGATCTGGGTGAGGAACACATCCAAACTATGACACTATGCCACTTCCACAGGGGGTAAGAACACTGACATGGTGGTTCTTTTCCATCCTTTGTGCTGTTATTGTCATAACTTTTACTTCTACATAAGTTATAAACTCTAGAGTACATTTTTCCTATTTTTGCTTAGTCTTTTTTTTAAGTTCTGGGATACATGTGCAGAATGTGCAGGCTTGTTACATAGGTATACATGTGACATGGTGGTTTGCACCTATCAACCCGTTACCTAGGTTTTAAGCCCCGCATGCATTAAGTATATGTCCTAACACTCTCTCTCCCCTCACCCCTCACCCCCCCCCCACCCCCTGACAGGTCCCAGTGTGTGTTGTTCCCCTCACTGTGTCCATGTGTTCTCATTGTTCAACTCCCACTTATGAGTGAGAACATACGGTGTTTGGTTTTCTGTTCCTGTGTTTGCTGAGAATGATGGCTTCCAGCTTCATCCACATCCCTGCAAAGGAGGTGATATAATTCTTTTTTATGGCTGCATAATATTCCGTGGTGTATATGCACCACATTTTCTTTCTCCCGTCTATCTGATAGGTATTTGGGTTGATTCTAAGTCTTTGCTATTGTGAACAGTGCTGCAATAAACATGTGTGCATGTATCTTTATAGAAGAATGATTTATACTCGTTTGGTTATATACCCAGTAATGGGATTGCTGGATTAAATGGTATTTCTGGTTCTAGATCCTTGAGGAATTGCCACACTGTCTTCCACAATGGTTGAACTAATTTACACTCCTACCAATGGTGCAAAAGCATTCCTATTTCTCCACAGCCTCACCATTATCTATTGTTTCCTGACTTTTTAATAATCACTGTTCTGACTGGCATGAAATGGTATCTCATTGTGGTTTTGATTTGCATTTCTGCAATGATCAGTGATGAGCTTTTTTTTCATATATTTGTTGGCTGCATAAATGTCATCTTTTGAGAACTGTCTGTTCATGTCCTTTGCCCACTTTTTGATAGGGTTGTTTTTTTTTTTTTCTTATAAATTTAAGTTCCTTGTAGATTCTGGATATTAGACCTTTGACAGATGGGTAGATTGCAAAAATTTTCTGCCATTCTGTAGGTTGCCTGTTCACTCTGATGATAGTTTCTTTGGTTGTGGAGAGGCTCTTTAATTAGATCTGTTTGTCAGTTTTGACATCTGTTGCAATTGCTTTTGGTGTTTTAGTCATGAAGTCTTTCCCATGCCTATGTCCTGAGTGCAACTAAAAATAAGAAAAATTCCTTTGATTATAGATTTTCATTTTTACAATTTTCAGTGTTCTTTGGTGTGTGTGGAGATACTATTAAAATAACTTCCGTGTAGCATCACATTCCAATGTAGTTCTGCTCTAATTTTCTCAGCCTCTGTTTGCTGAAAATAAATGGTCACAGATTGAATTTATCTAAAGAAATCTATATTTTATCCTCATTTTTGAAAGATACATTTATTTGGTATAGAATTCTAGGTAAGCAGTTTTTTGTCTCAGTATACTATTCCCTTTTATCCACAGAAGATGCATTCTAAGACCCTGAGTAGATTCCTGCAAATGACTATTACTGAATCTTATATAAACTATTTTTGTACATATGTGTATATATATGTATATATATAAAAAATAGGATCACTGGGTCAAACGGTATATGTATATCGTATATATGTGTATACACATATACATATATATAATATATACATATACATATATATGTAAACCAAAAAGTGAGCAAGGCAGATCTCAATCAGTTTAGTGGTTTATTTTGCAAAGGTTGAGGCTGCACCTTGGGGGGAAAACATAAGTTACAGTAGGATCTGTGGCCTGTGCTTTTTCCAAAGAGAGTTTTGAGGACTTCAGTATTTAAGGGCAAAAAGCAAATAGAAGAAAGGAGGAAGGGGGAAAAAGGGCCACGAAGCAAGTGGTTACATTCTTGTGAGGCTTTGGTTAGGACTGAGTGAATCTACGTTTTACACACGAAAAGGAGGGGGTAGAGGAAAAAATTAGGTACTTGGCTTGCACTCAGTAAATCTACGTTTTTCATAAGACAAAATAAGCAAGTGAAATTACAGCAGTATTTTTGGGAACAAAAGGAAGGCAGTTTTTGCATGACTCAGACCTCAAGCTTAACTTTTCCCTTTGGTGTAGTGGCTGAGATTTTATTTTCCCTTCACACATGCATACCTATGATAAAGTTTAATTTTTAACCTTGGCAGGGTAAGAGAGTAACAACAATAACTCATAATAAAATAGAACAGTTATGTGATTGTGGCCTTTCTCTTTTGCCCTCTTTCTCAAAATATCTTTTCTGTGCTATACTCACCCTTCTTGTGATGAACAAAGGCTGGAGTGGGACAGCAAGAGATTCATCACACTAGTTAGAATGACATGCAATTTAAGTCTTATAAGTTGTTTGTTTCTGGAATATTCCATTTAATATTTTCAGACCCTGATTGACTGCCAGAAAGGGAAACCCCTACTAAACAAATTTCACTGTATTGTCTTTGGCCTGCATAATTTTAGATAAGAAATAATCTGTAAATCTATACATAATGTTTCTTTTTCTACAGCTGCCTTTTAAGATTTTTTGTCTATCTTTGCAAAATACTAGTTGGACTGTGTGTCGTGTGTGTGTGTGTCTGTGTGTCGTGTATGTGTATAAATGTATTTATATTGCTTAAGGTTCTTAGAGCCTCTTAGATCTGTGGTTTGTTGTATTTCATTAATTTTGGAAAATTTTCAGCTACTGTCTCTTCAAATACCTTCACTTCATTTTGTCTCTCTTCTTCTGGAGGTCCAAATAAGGATATGTTAGACCATTTGATATTGTTCCACATTTCTAGGATGCTGTGTTCAGTTCCTGCCATCCCCCCAACCCCTGGTCTTCTTTTATTTCCTTTGGATAGTTTCTACTGACTTCATTGCTACATTATATTCATTCTGCTAAAAGCTCATTGAAGGAATTCTTTGTATCTGACACTATTTTCATTTCTAACATTGCCATTCAACTTTTTTATTGTCTCCAACTTTCTGCTAAAATTTTCTATCTGTCCATACATGTTGTTCACTTTTTCCACTAGGTTCTTTCATAGATTAGTTATTTTAAAGTCCTATCAGATACTTCTAACATTTGGTCATCTGTGTATGTGGTCTGTTGATTGCTTGATTTCTTGAAAATGTTTTTTTCTTAAATCTTTATTGTGTCTCAATTTTTGATTGAATGGCACAGATATGATGTGTAGAAAATAATTTACTGAGGTAAATAACATATACATTTGGAAATACGCAGGCTCTTCATTAGGGTGGAGGGTAGAGTCAACTGAGTCAGCAGTTGAGCTGGGTTTGTTTTTTGCTTTTGCTTTCATTACCTTTAGTGGCTGTAAAAAACCTCTAGCAGTGGGCTTCTGTAGATTTTGCTTGGTGGGAGCCCGGGTGGTAGAGAATTCCACCCTCACCTTTCAGCAGTCTCTGCAGCCCCCTTCCCCACCATAGAGGGGGGGCTATATTTATGCTTGTTCTCCTCCCCTGAGTAGACTGATGCTGTTACTCAATGTTAGGCTCATATCAAGCCTAATATTAATGATGTTAGGGACTTTTCAGTTCTCCAGGTCCAGCCTCAGTCTCAGGCAGGATCTGTGCACCTGGGTCCTGAGAGTGTGGCCATCTAGTGTACTTTGCTCTCTCACCACTGTCTCTATTGATATTCCAGGACCCATCTTAAGGATTTAGTTAACCCTTAGACTCTCAGAGCCGTTTTTAATAGTACTTTCAGCTTTATTGAGGTATAATTGACATTTAAAAATTGTATATATTCAATATGTACAATGCGATGTTTTGATATACCTATATATTGTGAAATGATTTCCACAAGCAAGATGGTTAACATATCCATCAGCTCACATGGTTACTTTTTGTGGTGAGAATACTTAAGATCTACTCTTATGAATTTCGAGTATACAATTCACCATTGTTAACTACAGTTAACCATGCTGTACATTAGGTCTCCAGAATTTCTCATAACTGCAATTTATGTCCTTTGACCAACATCTACCCCTTTCCTCCACCCGACCCCAACCCATGATAATCACCCTTCTACTTTGTTTCTGAGTTTGACTTTTTAAGATTCCACATGTAAGTGAATATGTGGAATTTATCTTTCTCTTCCTGAGCCTGGCTTATTTCACTTGGCATGACATCCTCAAGGTTCATCCATGTTGTTGCAAATGGTAGAATTTCCTTCTTTTTGTGGCTGAATAGTATTCCATTGTGTAGATACACCACAGTCTCTTTCCTCATTCACCTGTTGATGCACACTTGCACTGTTTCTGTATCTTTGGCTGTTGTGGATAGTGCTGTAGTAAATATGAGAGTGCAGATATCACTTTGAGATAGTAATGTATTTCCTTTGGATAGATAACCAGTAGTGGGATTGTCAGATCACATGGTAGTTCTATTTTTAATTTTTTTAGGAACTTCTATACTGTTCTCCATAATGGCTAAAGCAATTTTCATTCCCACAAACAGTGTACAAGGGTTCCTGAAGAGGAACTTCAAGGCTAACTGGTCCAACCATTTACCCAAATTCTCTAATTGTCTGGCCTGTGTATTCGTATCTCCCAGAGATAATGGGACTCTCCAGCATTCAGGGCAGCCTATTTTATCTCTGGGCAGCTCTGATTGCCAGAAGATCTCTCTCGTGTCAAGTTTCAATTGGTCCTTTCATAATTTTCGCTCGTTAAACCTATCTCTTTCGGCTAAATGTAAGCTTATTACATGTTCTAATGGCAGCTCTTCTAATATTGGAAGACAAATATTACTCACCCATATATTTAAAAAGTTATTGAGTGTCAATGTGCCAGATACTAGAATAGAAACCAGGGAATCAGACATGGAAAAGGCATAGTCTTGCTTTCCTGGATCTCAAAGTCTAGTTGTAAAAGCACGTAACTGCAATGCAATGTGGTAAGAGTAATGGCATACATTTTCAAAGAGCATTTTGGGAACACGAAGAAAAGCATCTATTTGTGGGGACAAAAAAAAAAAGTTAGGAATGGCTGTCTAAGAGAGCTGAAACTTATGGAGAGGTCAAATTGGTCACATAGAGAGGAAGGACATTCCAGGCAATGAATGTTATTAGCAAAGGGTTGGAGGTGTGCATCATGGAAATCACAAAAAATCCAGGTGTGGATTCTGGTACGTAAAGAAAGGAGTGAAAGCTAAAGCAGGCAAGGTGGTCGGGAAGCACATCCTGCAGGGCTGTCTGCTGTATCCCGTATGCAGTAAGAGCATTGGAAAGTCTTGGTGGAGGAGTAGCATAGGGTATGGTATCCAGTATCCAGATATAGAAATACTTACCACACTGTGCTGCGAGGTTGCATTTGGGTCGGAAAAGGGTGGTGGGAGGCAGGGAGGCCAGCTGGTACGTTTTCCTGGTGGCAGATGGCCAGGGCCTGCATTAGCCAGGGCAGTGATGATGAAGTAGTTGCCCATTGGACAGATTCCTCCAGGGTGAAGTTGATGATGGGTGGTGGTTGGCCAGGTGGGAGGCGTGAGGGAGAAGAACACACGGGAACGGCTGGGTTTGTGGATTATGTGCTGGGTGGACAGCAGTGTATCCCCTGACACAGACAGCTCAGGGGAGCCCTGAGTGAGGGGCAGGGAGGTGAAATCCGCTTTGAGCCCAACAACTTTGAGATCCATAAATTACACAGGTGGTGCTTAGCAGGCAGTTGGGCAGATGAATTTCGAGTCTGAGAGAAGAAGGGGTCAAGGGTGTCTTAGTGGCTAATAATTTGAGTGGGTTGGACCCCACCCCACCATACAGGCACAGCGAGTGGGGAGCGTAAGCAGAGTGATTTCTGGGGGAAAGCCTGGTGATTGTTGGAATTTAGGGGCTGTGTGGAAGAAGAGGAGCCTAAGAAGGAGACGGAAAGATGAGGAGGAAGGGCTCAGAGGGAAACAGGAAGGTGTGGTTTCACTGAAGCCACGGGGCCAGAGGAATCTCAGGAAGCAGGAAAGCACGGACTTCACTTCACATTCAAGATGTCAATAGCCTTGCTTGTCAGACTTCTTACTAAAATGCTACCCCTTAAGTAAAGTCTCACCGCACCAGCAGCAAAGGCCTGCAGAGGGAACATAATGCCGGACGCAGGAGGACGCAGTGATGGCCCGGAGGGAGGAGTATGCCGGAGAGATACCAGCTCAGGCTTCCACTTTGTTTTCCAGGCAGAGAAGCGCTGCCACCCTCCCTGGCACCTGTCTCCAGTCCTAGCGCCCAGGCAGGCAGACAGATTTCCCTCCTTCATGGGGGAGTCTGACACCTGCAACCACGTCGCAGCTCTTCCTCCGTCCTTTTCTGCACTTAGGAAAAGGGTATACTCCTAGGAAACAACCATGCAGAAAGGGGATGTGTGGGGGCTGACAGCTGGCAGTGGGGCTTTAACTTCTAGCAATTTTTTCTAAGAAAACAATGAGAGTGAATAGATATGAAGTACTAAGGAGTTCATTCATCACAAGATTGTTCTCCAACAAGGAAAATGGGCAACAATCAACATTCCCAAAGGTAGGCAAGTCCACGCCCTGCAACCCAATGCAGCCACTAAAATGAATGTCTTCATATTTTTAATAAGGCAAGATGATCATATTTTAAAGGTGGTTGCTACATGTTATGTATTATTAATTCGTTAACATCCATTTAATATGTAAGCACAGAAGAGTCCGGAAGGCTAACAGTAAAATGTTAATAGTGGTTGTCTCTAGGTAGTAGGACCATAAATTTTTTTTTTTTTGGCTTACCTTTATTTCAGCATTTTCTTCAACATTTACCAAAACGACTTGGGTTATGAAAAATTATTTGAAGGACTGATCAAAAGGTCCAAAAGCCTCATGAGATAAGATCTGAAACGTGGGTATGACCTGGCAATTTGGAAGCCACTGGTCATCTTAGTGAGGAGACTTTCCTTAGTGAGCCAGAAGGTGGAATACGGGGGATTCCGAAGCCAGTGGTAGGTGGTGACTGAGTGTGGGAGGTGTCTAATCTTTTTTATTTTTATTTTATTTTTTATTTTGTTATTTTTGAGATGGAGTTTTGCTCTTGTTGCCCAGTCTAGAGTGCAGTGGTGCGACCTCAGCTCACTGCAACCTCTGCCTCCCGGGTTCAAGTGATTCTCCTGCCTCAGCCTCCGTAGTAGCTGGGATTACAGGTGTGCACCACCATGCCCAGCTAATTTTTTATATTTTTAGTAGAGACAGGGTTTCACCATGTTGGCCAAGGCTGGTCATGAACTCCTGACCTCAGGAAATCCACCTGCCTTAGCCTCCCAAAGTGCTGGGATTACAGGCATGAGCCACCGCACCTCGCCTCTAATCCTTTTTAAAACAAACTGAGCAGAGAGTGGGCTAAACTCATCAGCGGCTGGGGTGGTCAAGCTGCCCCAATGCTTGTGCACCCCTAAAGCTGGGGTCGGAGGTTGGGAGGTGTCTGAGAATAAAGAAGATGAAGATTCAGCTGTGGCCTGAAGACAGAGGTGAAGGCTGCCATGGACACTGTGGGGGGGGGGGGGGTGGCGGGGCAGGAAGCAGGCAGGGACAGGGTTGGCCTGGACTTAAACATCCAGCTGGAAGCTGATGGGATCCAGGAATCCCAGGCAACATCTCACCAGGAATCCATCCGATGGTACCCATAAACTCGGAGAATTCAGCAATGGTTTAAAAAGGTGGCTGTTTGCAGAGGTGAGAGAAGGTCCTGTGGAAACACAGGACACAGCATGGGGGGAGCTGCAGGCTGCAGAGGTCCTCCCACCCGAGGGCCTGGAGGAGGAAAATCAAGGGCAGACTCCCCTCCAGTGCAGAGGGTGACTGAAAGGACAGGTGGCCTTCCAACCAGTGGCACATCTGCTCCCGCCACCTGCCCCATCCTCTTTCTCCTTTCTCCTGCCAGGTTCCTGTCGTTCACAGGCATCCAGGAGCCAGAATGCTGGGTGCTGGTTTGCCAAGGCAGAGGTCAGAGCAGGGACGCCTCGGGGCACAGATGGAACATCCAGCTCCCGGAGCCCGGTTTAGGATTGGGGACTGAAAACCGGGGCTGGTGATCTGGTATTGATGAGACCCAGGAATTTTGATCTTATATTGCTTGGTGAGTCTTCAAAGACATTCGAAAGGCAAGGACTAGGGTAGAAAACATGACAGTAACCTGTGGACATCTACGTCTCGTATCCTCTGAAGGAAGGAAATGAGGCAAGCTTGGCAGTTTATGGTAGAAGAGAGAGGAGGGTTTCTGTGTTATGAACTGCACGAGTTGGCTGAGCTCAGTCTATCACGTGTGTGGTGGGCACATGGCCAGACTCCATGTGCCCTGGACTTGAGTGTGGTCTTCAGTGTGGGGGCATGGGGCTGAGCCAGGCTGAAGGAATGTGGGCAGGAGGACCGTGTCCTGGCCTGGCCCTCCCCAGAGAAGTCCTGCCGTGCAAGCCTCAGGTTTCCCATTTCCAGCTGAGGACTGGGTGGAGAGCGCGCCACAGGCCAGCTCATCCTGGAGCCCCGGGAGGCGGGAGCTGCTGTTGAAAGGGGAGCCTTCCAGGAACAACCTGACCAGGAACACCACACCACGCTGGACTTCCATGGGAGCAGGTTATAAGCTTGTATTGTGTCAAAGTCACCACGATTTTTATGTTGATAGAACAGCTGGACTTCCTTTAGAATGTTATTCTTCCTGGGTCAGGTGAAGGGGACAGTGAGGAAAGGGCTGGATCCAGGAAGCCCTGTTGGAAAGCATGGGTAGGACAGGGGGCTGGCCAGGGAGGGAGGTGCAGGATGGAGGCGAAATAATTCAAGAAGGTTTCAGGGTGAGTGGGGGATCTTTGAAGGAGAACGCAACTCATGGCAACAGGAAAATGAGTGAAATGAATCTGAGGCTGAAGAGCTTGGCTTTGTCATTCGAGGCCACCGCTTTCTGGCTGTCCATGGAGGTAGCAGGCGGCATTTGCAGATGAGACCGGAGGAGGTTAATTTGGTCTAACCTGCGTTCACTTGCTTCCTGACAACGAGTTCACCAAGGCACAAACGGTTCTCTGAGTCACAGGGACATGCCTCCCTGTGGTCAGGGGATGGTGGGAAGGAATCAGAATGGCACTCGAGCCTGCGCCGGCAGTCGGGGGACCCGCGAGACACGGTGCGGCCACATGCTGGCTCTGGACCAGCCATTCGTTTCTGACTAGCAGGACACTTCACGTGTAGGAGGCATGCAATAATAGTTGTTGGAAAAAATGGATGAAGAAAGGAGTTAGAAATGAATCTGTTTCCTCAGAGGTTTTTTGAGTTTTTCCCTCTGGTAAAATTCTGACTCAGGGCACAAGGCTGTCTATAAGTGGGAAACGCACGTCACCTGTCCTCGAGTCCGGAGATCCATCCTCACCCCAGTCCCATTTGGAGACTCAAACCAGGGACAGCAAAGAAGAATGAGGGGCTCTGGGTGGGCTTAGTCGCACAGCTGACAGTGGCGAATGGGAACACGGGCAGAGTCTTTTTGGCGAGATTCCTGGAGCTAACTGGAGACCAGACCGGCCAGTGTGCAGCTCTGACGGCCGCTCCAACCGCCTCCCTGCCCTCATGCCTGCTCCAGACCTTCCGTGGCAAGGGCAAGAGCTGTTTGGGTGTTACTGGAACTTCTAACAGGTCTGGAAAATGGCCCTCAGGTTTCTCCCCAACTATTTATTTTGAAATAATTTCAGACATAGAGAAGAGTTGCAAAGTTAGTGCAGAGAGGGTCCATATACCCCTTCATCTAGTTTCCCCAATGTTAATGTTTTATAGAAACAGTACAATTAGGAAAATGATGACATCAGTACCACTAAAATAGATTTTTATTCAGATCTGAATGAAATTAAAATAGAAGTGATTCTTGTGCCATCGGGAAGGAGCCAGGCATTATCACAGTGGCCGGCAAGAGTGCGTCGGGCACCGCACCTTCCTTGGGGACCACGGCGACTTTCAGCCCTGAAGCTCCAGCTGCAGCTAAGCAGGATGGAGGGAGAAGCGGAGGGACTTGGTCCGCCACACGAAGTGGAACTTACAGCCATTCGGGAAGGGATAGTGCAGGCGCAGGGAGTGCCCACCACACACCTCCGTCCCCACCCCTCGCTCAGGTCCCCGCCCTGAGGGTGAAAGTGCCAGCACACCAGTTCTATTGTGGCTTATTGTGGGAAGAGACCAGCTACCTGATACAGAGAGAGATAATGGTTGTGGGACACTTTACAGTTTACAAACTTTTTCACAAAATGACTAATGGGTGTCCAGAATCCGAGCTTGGTAACCGCAGGTTAGTGACAGAGCTGAGAGGAGCCTTGGGATGCCTGGGTTCTGCTCCACTCGCAGAGGGGAGGACAGCAGCTTCTGTTTGTCCTACCCGGCCGGTGGATGTTGCGACTCCAATCTCCAAGGCACCCTGCTCCTGTGGTAGAACTCACTTCTGAATAAACAGAAATGTGATGGCCTGCTCTTCACGGTGCCTTTTCCATGAAGAGTATTAGGTAGCTGTAACCCCAGCACTTTGGGAGGCCGAGGGGGGAGGATCACCTGAGGTCAGGAGTTCGAGACCAGCCTGGCCAACAGGGTGAAACCTCATCTATTAAAAATACAAAAATTAGCTGGGTGTGGTGGCGCATGCCTGTAATCCCAGCTACTCAGGAGGCTGAGGCAGGAGAATCACTTGAACCCAGGAGGCGGAGGTTGCAGTGAGCGGAGATCGCACCACTGCACTCCAGCCTGGGTGACAGAGTGAGACTGTCTCAAAAAAAAAAAAAAAAAAAGTATCAGGTAGGAGGCAAGGAAATTGGAGGCTTTACATCAGCTCAGCTGGAACAGACCCATCCAAAGAGGAGAATTTTTGTTTTGAGCCAAAAAGGAGGGCTTAGGAAGCTCCTGGTTTTAGAATGTGGAATGTTAGTTTCTTACGTTGACCTAGAGCCACGTGCTCGGAGACACTGACTTGGAGAGTTTTATAAATTCTGCAATGCTTAGGAAGTCCGAATGCCTAATGACTTTCACGTCACTTGTTGTTTTTTGTGTGTTCTTTAAATGACTATCTTCATGTTTTAAAATATCCAAAATTAAGTTTCATTTGCGAGCTGAATTATCAAAGATATTGCCTACTTTTATAAAGCATTTATGGGATTTTCTTACAAATGAAAGGGTGTTGAGGGTTCCCGAAATGAAGTGTAGCAGGATCTCATTCTGACCTGGCCTTGGTGAAGCCTGCAGGGAGAGTCTCTGTGTTTCTCTCTCTGTCTGTCTCTGTCTCTCTCTGTCTCTCTCTGTCTCTCTCTGTCTCTGTCTCTCTGTCTCTCTCTGTCTCTGTCTCTGTCTCTCTCTGTCTCTGTCTCTGTCTCTCTCTGTCTCTGTCTCTCTCTGTCTCTGTCTCTGTCTCTCTGTCTCTCTGTCTGTCTCTCTCTGTCTCTGTCTCTCTCTGTCTCTGTCTCTCTGTCTCTGTCTCTGTGTCTCTCTCTCTCCCTCCTCTCCGTCTCCCTCCTCTCCGTCTCCCTCCTCTCCGTCTCCGTCTCCCTCCTCTCCGTCTCCCTCCTCTCCGTCTCCCTCCTCTCCGTCTCCGTCTCCCTCCTCTCCGTCTCCGTCTCCCTCCTCTCCGTCTCCGTCTCCCTCCTCTCCGTCTCCGTCTCCCTCCTCTCCGTCTCCCTCCTCTCCGTCCCCCTCCTCTCTCCCCCTCCTCTCCCTGTCTCTGTCTCTCTCTCTGTCTCTGTCTCTCTCTGTCTCTGTCTCTCTCTGTCTCTGTCTCTGTCTCTCTGTCTGTCTGTCTCTCTCTGTCTCTGTCTCTCTCTGTCTCTGTCTCTCTCTCTGTCTGTGTCTCTCTCTCTCCCTCCTCTCCGTCTCCCTCCTCTCCGTCTCCGTCTCCCTCCTCTCCGTCTCCCTCCTCTCCGTCTCCCTCCTCTCCGTCTCCCTCCTCTCCGTCTCCCTCCTCTCTCCCCCTCCTCTCTCTGTCTCTGTGTCTCTCTCTTCCTCCTCTTTCTGCCTCCGCCCCTCCCTCTTTCTGTCGTGCGAAGGTCACAACATGGCCTCTGCAGAGGCTTCTCTCATAGGATCTGCCAGTGGTACATGGAAAATCTGGGGCCCAGAAGAGCAGTTTCATTGTGGACCCCCTTGTCAATAAGGGGATATGCTTCCCAGGGACACCTGAAACCATGGAGAGTCCTAAATCCAGTCGCTGTCAATCAGGACACGTGTCTGTTCGTTTTCCACCCATACATTTAATGCCTTCTCCTTCTTAACTGAGCACTATCAGGCCCTGTGGCCATAACTTTTGCAGTTTGAGATGTGATAGTAAAACGAGCGCAAATTTCCTTTTCCCTCATCACATTTTCATGAATAGACTTATTTTTACTGTAGATCTTAGCAAGTTCAGCTTACAATTGTTTTTTCTTTCTGTTTTGTTTTGAGACAGGGTCTGGCTCTGTCGCCCAGGCTGGAGTGTGATGGATCAGTTAAGGCTCCTTGCAGCCTTGACCTGTGGGGCTCAATCATCCTCCAGCCTCACCCCCCCGTACTTGGGATTACAGGCATACCACCATGCCTGGCTACATTTTGTATTTCTTGTAGAGACAGGGTTTTGCTGTGTTGCCCAGACTGGTCTCAAACTCCTGGGCTCGAGTGATCTGCCCACCTCAGCCTCCAAAACTGCTGGGATTCCAGGCGTGAGACACCGCACCTGGCAGCTTTTATTTTCTTAGGAACGTTCACCGTTTCACGTAAAGAAAGCCCTCGATGGCTCCTCTCTGGCAATCTGAATTGCCGGCATCACCGCTCCTGCACCTTGGTGCCATTTTCAAGGAAAATACGGGTTCTTTGAACACACGCACGGCCACCTGGAGAGTCGGCCTCATAAGGGACAGGGTTCCTCAGTGGCTGAGGGACAGGCAGCACCTCCATCGTGGATCCCCTGGGCAAAGCGATGAATCACGTCCCCATGCAAGATTGCATCACACTACTCAGAGCTGTGCACCTTTTAAAACCCAGGAATTATGTATTTCTAGAATTTTCCACTTAATAGATTCGGACCACGGTTGAGTGCGGGTCGCTGAAACAGCGGAAAGTGAAAGCAGGGATAAGGGGGACTGCTGCAGATGCACTTCCTCTGGGTGTCAAGCAGCACACCTCTCCCCCTGCCCCGCCAGGGTGCGGAGGCTGGGCGGTGGCCCCCGTACCAAGGGTGGAGGGAGCGGCCAGGCCACCCTGCCTGTCCCTGTGGGGTGGCCTTCCACTGTTGAGGGTTTAACTGGACATAGTCCTGCACACAAAGACAGGGCAGGCGGTGCTTACTGAACCGTGATTTTTAACAGCGGCATCTTAGCCCGGGTGGGAGAGCCCCGGCGGGGCTCGAGGCTGCAGGTGGGGTTGCACACTCCCAGAGGCTGCCCCACCCCCAGCAATGGGGATGTCTGGGCTGCCAGTTCAGCAGTCGCTGCTTATAAAAAGGAAACTTTAGTGTATGGTATTTTCCTGAATAGTGAGGAAAAAACCCCTGATATCTTACAGTAGAAAATCTCTTCCTCACCTTAAAGAAATCCCTGGGGGTTGGGTGTGGGAGAGGGACATTCCCCTGCCCGATGCTTCCGTCAGCCTAGCCTGACAGATGCTTTGGTTATGTAGTTTCCAGTCATCGGCTGTGGCATTCTCTGCAACACCTCATTGTCCAGATGGTTTCCAGGCACACCTCTTAGCACCTCGCTCACTACCATGCGCTCAACAAGCCAGGCTTCACCTCTGCCCACCTGCCTCCACTTCCTCCTCTTCAGTGAGCTGAGCCGTCCCTGTCCCACCTGGGGATGTTTTTCCACCATCAGGAGCCCCGTCCTCGGTCCCATGCAGCAAGGCCCAGGCAGCGGGCTGGGTGGTAGAGAATCGCCCTGCTCTGTAAAATCTATACCCGAAGCCTGGTTGGAGACACTTGGTTGCAGCCTTGGCCTAAGACTTGATCGTGGAACTTAATAAAACAACTGAAGGTCCTTGCACAGGAAGAAATCAAACCGCCAAGTCCTAGTGTCAGGATTCGCTGTCTTCCAGGCTCAGTCTCCCGCATCACAGCTCGAAGCAGGAGTGCTGGGAGGCGACAAGCACGGGCTATGGTGCTGCTGTGCAGGCCCGACATCGGCAGGTGCTCAGACGTTCAGATGTAGTTCTCTAAAGCAATGGGATCCCACTGCTCTGGGGTTTGCAAATTGGTTCTGAGGGCATTGCTGAAAATTCAATAAACTCCCAGATGGAATGTTCTAACGTCCAGGCGGCAGAGCTCTCATCTACTCTGAGGATGTGTGATTCATCTACATAAATGTAATGCTGCCATCCTGCTGCAGAAGTCCAGCCCAAATGCCACCTTGTTTTGAGCCTATGTACATCTCCAGGCAGCTTTAAAAACAAGGCCATTGTCTCTCACAGGCCCAACACCATCCCCACACCTACCAAAACTAATTTCTAAATCTCATCCAATACCTGGACCATATTTAAGAGACCTCTGAATATCTTCAAGATGATGTCTGCACAGTTGGTTTACCAACTATTGCATATTAAAATAAATTACATCGAGGGCAGAATTCATTTGGATGTGTAAGTTTTTTGTGGTTTTTTTTTTTTTTAAGATGGAGTCTCTCTGTCGTCCAGGCTTGAGTGCAGTGGCTCAATCTCAGCTCACTACAACTTCTGCCTCCCAAGTTGAAGTGATTCTCCTGCCTCAGCCTCCCAAGTAGTTGGAATTACAGGCATGCACCACCACACCCAGCTAATTTTTGTATTTTTAGTAGAGACAGGGTTTCCCTATGTTGGTCATGCTGGTCTCGAACTCCTGATCTCAGATGATCCGCTCGCCTCGGCCTCCCAAAGTACTGGGATTACAGGCATGAGCCACCGCGTCCGGCTGGATGTGTAAGTTTTGATGTGAGTTTAAAACAAGTGTCTTTGAAAAAAAAAAAAAAAACCACTCCCTTTCTTTAGGGCAAGGCCCTGGCGTTTCTAGCCCATAGGTGGAGGGCATTTACTTAGCACTCTGGAGCAAGAAGCTGATCCCAGGATACCTTGCTTGAGAAGAGTGGCAGGAGCTGCGATATTTCCTGAGGTCACACACTGTCTTCATCCCCACGACCAGAGGCGTTTGCACTAGGACTTGGTACATCTTGGTTTCCTTGCCTTTCTGTCACGAGCTCTTTTGTGATTATAACTAACGAACTAAATGTCTGCTAGCCTCAGCTTTCTCCTTGGTAAAGTCCAGATGTGAAAATAGTCTGCTCACTTCACAGGAACTCAACAACGTTATACATGAAGGTTCTTGGAAAAGCACCACATTCTATGCCTATGAAAGGTGATGTCAGGGTTAGCAGGAACGGTTAAATATAGGCACACCTGTGCAGACATGCGGGGCGGGAGCTGAGGACATCATTGTGTATGATATCAGTTTTGTTATTGGCACAGCTGAATAATTACCTTGTTATATAACAGCACATAGACATCACACACCTGGTATCTCCGTGAATGCAGTATTTCTCCCATCAATGCTAGGTGGCATATGAAGATACAGGGGCAGCGGGTAGAGAAACTGCTGTGTAGGATTTCCTTCTGAAAACTCTAGGACACTGGTCAGTTAAATGGCTAAGTTTGTAGACATTTTCTAACCAGCAAACTGTGATGTATCCCTTTCCTTTTGCTTCTGGCCAGAGCCTCTGTGCTCCCAGCTCCCTCTTGCAGCCCTGTCTTCTATGATCTGCCCTCAGCCCTGGTCCACTTCGTGGTTCTGTCCTAACTTCATCTCATATGATCTCATCCACCCTCTCCATGGCTTCAGTTAACATCTATAAGCCCACTGTGGTTTCTTGCTGTCCTCACAGCCATGGGGGTCTCTGAGTAGCACACCTGGCACGTCTAACTTCTTCACACCTAAGCAGAAGTCTCAGGGAGTTGGGGAAAATAAACTTATTCCAAACTTCTGTCAGTCTAGCTGTCTTTGGTTAAATGCTTCCCTCCTCTTTTGCGATAATAGATTTGCCCACGGCGAGCGAGGACAGGGCCAAGAACAGCCCTTTCGTTGCTTGGTGCTTGCACGTCTGCTTGGCGTGGAGCACGTGGGGGTACCCCTTCTGTTTCCCCGGAGAGCCTGTGCACCCCCTGAGAGCAGAACTACATGCGCTTCAGCTCCACAGCCTCCCAGGCCTAGGGCTCGCCCGTGCCCCAGGGCTGCTCTCAGTTCCCACTGTGGAGTCCCGCAGACTTGAGCACGTGCTTCTCCTATGTGAGGGCTACTCTGACAGTGGGCTCTCAGGAGAGTGCTGTGCATGAACAGTGCTACCTCCAGGCACGGTGGTGAGGGGGACGGGTGCTGAGCAAGACTCTGCGTTCCAATCTGAGCTGTGTCTACCTAGTTACATGACCTTGGGCATTATTTGACCTGTTTACTGCAGTTTCCTCCTGTGTAAAATGGGGATAGTTATGCAGATCTGAAAATGGTATCGTGAGAGTAGCTGCTAATCCCTGTAAATGCGGGACTGTCTGACAAACAGCCCAGGGGCACCATGACCGAGCCTGGGAAGCTCAGATGCCGAAGCTGTTAGCTGTGGCACGCAAGCCTTGTTGCACCTCGGACCACCCGGAGTCCGTGATAAGCGCAGACGCCTGGGTCCCTGCCCCACGCTGGCTGTTACTTGACTCTGAGTCCAGCAGGTCACTCCAATGCACTGTAAGGCTGCAGAGCCACCTCCTCAGACAAAATTAAGGGTTATCCGCTCCACACACACACAACTAAAAAGGGAAAAAGCCAGTCGCCAAGGCACTCTTCCCTCATCCTCTGCCTCCGCGAGTCTGGAGGAGTTAGCTGTGGGGAGCCTGGCTTTGCACAGGTGTGGGGCAGGGCGTGGGGCGCTGGGCTCCCGCGTGGCTGGGACACCATTTGTGTGTCGGCAAGCAGCAGCAGTTTTATTCTCACAGTGGCATTTTTCAAACGTCTGATCAGGAACCTACATTTTCAAAACCTGCTTGTCATTCAAAATGTCATCGTGGATAATTAATCCATCAGACTATACACACAATGGGATTTCATGTTGTGACTTGGTGTGTCAAACCTAGGATAATAAACCTGAAAACTGTATGTTAGTGTTCCCACTCAAAAGAATTGTGTTCTTTTCTGATGAGGATGTGTGTAAGCTGTGTGTGAGTGACTGACAGGACTCGGGGCTGGGGGAGGGCTGGCTCGGTGCTGCTTCCTGTGTGGTCAGGATCACAGCGAGTGAGAAGTGAAGACACCAGAGGCTTTCTCTCTGGACGCCTGCGCTTCCCGCCCATCCTCCAGCTGAGGTACCGGTCCTCACGCTGCTGTGTTCAGGAACTGTTTTATCATAGAAATATCTGAATTTTCAAAAGTGGGTATATGTTTCCTTGCTTCCCTCTGCATTCCTAATGTTTCTTCTGTATCTCCTTTTTCTCCTTTGATAGGATGTGACTGGGAAAAAGAAACACAGGACCACAGGAACGTCTGTGACCCATGCTTTCTCTAAAGAAGGCATCAGGGCTTCAATATTTAGAGGGGAAAAAATGGGCAGGAGAGGAAAGAAAAAAGGGGAGGATACGGTCACCTTCTCGCGAAGCTCTGATGAGGGCTCCGTAAATCCATATGCTGCCATGGAAAGAACGGGGCAGACGGACGGTCACCTATGCGTTCCTCTCCTGCTCAGCGAGCATGCTTTTGACAGGAGGAAGAGCAAATGGGGCAGTCACGCACGCATTTGTCTCGGGTGAGGGAGAAATGACGTCCAGTCCTGCCTTTGTCCTGTGCCTGTGAAGATAAGCTGTGAATTCACATTGTCAGGGTGAAATTCAACAGAACATTGTTTTAGGGTAAAGATCTTGGGGCCCACAGGGAGGTACCTTGTGAGAAAACTGAGGGAGGCCGCCTAGGGAGGTATGTGGCCTTCTATCTATCTACTTAGGAACAAAGCAGGAGGCAGTTAACCCAAGGTTAACTTTTCCCAATGGCTTAGTGAGTTTGGGGCCCCAAGATTTTGATTTTCTGTTTACATGTTCTCAAAGAACCAGCTATTGGCCTTATTGATTTGACTATCTCCGTTGCATCTTGTGTTCTATTTTGTGTTTATTAGCTCTTTCCCTCTACTTTCTTTGAGCTCATTCTTTTGAGTTTCATGCATAGCTCATGTTCAGTCTCTTTTCCTCTCTAACACAGGCACTTAAAGTCTACATTTACCTTGAAGTGTTTCTTCAGCTGCAAGCCACATTTTGATATAAAATTTTTCATTACTGTTCAGATATCAGTTTCTCTAATGTTTGTTAATAATTTCTTTTTTGACCTATGTGGTATTCAGAAGTCTGTTTTAAAACTTCCAAATGTTAGCCAGGCATGGCTTACACCTGTAATCCAGCCACTTTGGGAGGCTGAGGCAGGAGGATCGCTTGAAGCCAAGAGTTCAAGACCAGTCTGGGCAACATAGTGAGACTCTATTTCTACAAAAAATAAATTTCCAAATACATGCAGGGTTTTAAAAGTTATCTTCTTGTTACTAATGTCTAATATAATTTTACTGTGGTCAGATAATTTGATACTAATTTTTTATTTCTTCAGACTTGTTTGTGGCTAGAATGTGGTCAGTCTTCTAACTAAAGTCAGAAGGTTATACAAATTTCTGCCAGATTAAGCTTGCTAATGGTGCTTTTCAAATTTTCTATACATTTGATAATTATTTTGACTGCTTAATCCATCAATATTGAGAAAAATGTGTTAAAAATCTACTAGTATGTTTATGGATTGCAAATCCCAAACCCTATAACTAAAAAATTATATAGGTAAAACTAAAAAATTATATCTATTGAAGTTATTAATATATTATTATTTACTTTTTTTTTTGAGACAGTTTTGCTCTTTTTGCCCAAGCTGGGGTGCAATGGCGTGATCTCGGCTCACTGCAACCTCTGCCTCCTGGGTTCAAGTGATTCTCCTGCCTCAGTCTCCCAAGTAGCTGGGACTACAGGCGCCTGTCACCATGCCTGGCTAATTCTTCTGTTTTTAATAGAGACGGGGTTTCAGCATGTTGGCCAGGCTGGTCTCGAACTCCTAACCTCAGGGGATCCTTCTGCCTTGGTCTCCCAAAGTGCTGGGATTACGGGTGTGAGCCACCTTGCCCGGCCTGAAGTTATTAATATTATTAAATGTACCTAAGTTTAGAAATCGTTTTATCTTCCTGGCAAATTATTACTTTCATCATTACACAATAGCCTTAATATATTCCTAAATAACATTTTGCCATCAAGTATATTTTGTGTGATATCAACTTAGCACCACTAGCTTTCTTTTCATGAATATTTCCCTAGCAAACATTTTTTTTGGGGTGGGAGTGGGGTAGGGCTGGCATTCTTTTGCTTTCAACCTTTGAGTCCTTTTATTTAGGACCCAGAAATAGCACATATTTAGAAATACCACATAGATGAATTTTTTTGGGGGGGGCTGGGATCTAATCTGAGGATCTATTTCATCTGAAAACATTAGTTCATTGATGTTACTGTGCTAATCCATTAGAAAATATTTTTACCCCTTAGTTTGGATTTTCTATTCACTTTCCTTTTTGTGTGCTTCACCAATCCCCTTCCATGTTAGTTACTCCTACTGATTTTTTAATTCCTCACCAACATACACTGCTATGAAAGTTTTCTATTCTACATCTATTCTTTTTTAAAAATTAAAACACAATTTTTCATTTTAAAAGAATTTCAGACATAAAAATGTTTTAAAAATAGAATGAAGAATTCCCATATTCCTTGTCCTCTCCCAGCTTCTCCAAGTATTAATATCTCAAATAGCCACAACACAATGATCAAAAGCAGGAAATTAACATTGATATACTATTGTGAGCTAATTTACAGATCTTACGAAAATTTCACCGGTTGGCTCACTGACGTCCTTTTTCTGGTTCAAGATCCAATCCAGGACCACACATTGCATTTAATTGTCACGTCTCCAATCTGGGGTAGTTCCTCAAGTCTCTGTCTTCTGTGACCTTGATAATTCTGAAGAGTATTGGTTGGGTATTTTGTAGAATGTGCCTCAATTGTGTTTAATGTTTTTTGGGATTAAATTCAAGTTATGAGCATCCTTTCTCTGGTATTTTTTGCCAAAAATGTAAGTTAACACTGCTTGTTCTAGAAGAGTGAAATATCAGCAAACCAGAGATGTCTCGGTTCCAATCTGCTTTTTCCTCCAGATATTACGCTCACCACATCCTGTCCTCCTATTCAAACTTCCTAATTCGTGGGCAGGAGGAGACTTAGATCCAGGAGTCCTGACAGCTTCAAGAGGTAGTCCTAGACCGTGATGGCCACGGGCCAACAGCAGACCCCATGACGGCTGTTGGGTGCAGCAGAGTGTGCCGACTCTCCAGAACTGGTCTGGAGAGCATCTAATTAACATTATGTCCAGCACAACCTACAAGGAACAGGGGGATTCTTTACACCCTTTGAAGTGTAGGGTTTTAGTGTCGTGCTTCCTCCTGAACCTTAAAAGCATATTCTCAACAGTCACTTTAAGAATCCAAGTAACTTTAAGAAAGAAACCTGATTTAAAGACAGCTAAGGGGTAAATCAAGGATGGGCCCTCATGGCAGTCTTACCAGAACTTATTTGCATCAGGAAACAATTTGGCTTGCTGAGTGTCTGATTAAGTCTTAAAAATAATGCAGATGGCCGGGCGTGGTGGCTCACGCCTGTAATCCCAGCACTTTGGGAGGCCGAGGCGGGTGGATCACGAGGTCAGGAGTTCGAGACCAGCCTGGACAACATGGTGAAACCCCGTCTCTACTAAAAATAGAAAAATTAGCCGGGCATGGTAGCACATGCCTGCAATCCCAGCTACTTGGGAGGCTGAGGCAGGAGAATCGCTTGAACTCAGGAAGCAGAGGTTGCAGTGAGCCAAAGTTGTGCCACTGCACTCCAGCCTGAGTGACAGAGCAAGGCTTTGTCTAAAAAAAAAAAAAGGCAAAAAAAGCAGACAACTCATATGGGGAAATAGACCCACAGAACAAGGACAATGATTATCCAAAGACCTCAGGAGAAAGTCAAACAGATAACAAGCTTGGGACCTCTAACTTGTGGTTTGCAGAGTCTGAAACTCCTGTTTGATGCAGAACAACACTGCTTCTGTGAGTTGTGTCTACGCCCATGGTATCTATTCCTCAAGTATTAAAACAATGCAAAATTAATTGATGTTACAGATTGTGAAAATAAATAGTTGGAGAAGTGATCATAGCCTTTAAGGGTTCATGTACTCATGCTCAGCATATTTACTAAGCAATGGCGAGAACAGGCTTATTTTAGAAAATTCCACTATTACTCCTCTTCTGCTTCTACAAGCACCAATTTAGAGCACTTCGTGTATCATTTAAGTCCAGCCACCCTTATTACACGCAAGGAAACAGATACAGCCAAAGGCCATGTGACTTTGCCAGCACTGCGCAGAGCTGATGACAACTGAAAGGAGAAACCAGCCCATTGTCTTTTGATCTCATTTTCTCTATTGCTTATGCATTTTTCTATTTCCTTGACTTCTGCCCTTTCCTTTATGATTTCTGTCATTCTACTAACTTGGGATTGGGGTTGAATTTGTTATTTGTTAATATCTTAAGATGGAACCTTAGATCACTGAATGTAGATCTGTTTTCTAACGTAAGCATGAAGTTTTACAAATCTTTTCCTGTAAGCACCCTATAGCTGTATCCCTCAAATTTTGATATGTTTTAACTTTTCATTCAATTCAAATATTTTCTAATTTCTGTGGTGTTTTCCTCTTTGATTCCTGGGGTATTTGGAAGTGCACTTTTTAACTTCCAAATATTTAGGGCTTTTCTTGATATTTTATTGTTATTGATTTTCAGTTTAATTCCACTGTGGGCAGAGAACTGCATAATTTGAAAATTTTAATTTTCTTTGAGATTTGTTTCATGACACAGCATATCAATCATTATTCAGATCTTCTATGTCTTTGATGATTTTCTTCATCTAGTTCTATCAGCTGCTAAGAGGAGCTTAAAACTTCCAATCTGAGAATGATACTGCCCATTTTTCCTTTAATCCTGTCAGTTTTGTCTTACGTATTTTAATGATCTTCATGCTTTGTTACTAGATACATACATGATTGTTATATCTTTGAGTGACCATTTTATACTTATGAAAAGTCCTTCTGTTATGATGTTTTTATCTTAAAATCTCCATTACCTTATATTGATATGGCAACTCCAGCCTTCTTTATGCTTACTATTTGCATAGTGTATTTTTTTCCCATCCGGTTCCTTTCAACCTATCTGCGCCATTTTAAAATATAAAGTTTCATCTCTTATATACAGCATATAGTTGGGCCATGCTTCTTTATTCCTTCTGACAACCTCTGCCTTTTAATTGAAATGCTGAATCCATTAATGTTTAATGAAATTATTGCTATGGTTGTGTCTGGACATATCATTGTGTTATTTTCTATCTGTTCTCTGTTCTTCCTTTTATGCCTTTTTAAAATTACACGACTATTTTAAAAATGCAATTATACTTTTCTTACTGGCTTTTTAGCTATACGCCTCTACATTATTGTTTCAGTGATTGTTCTGGGGACTACAACATATATCCTTAACTTTTCACAGTCCCTTTACATGTAATATATTACCACTTCATGTGAAATGTAGAAATCTTGCACCAATATAGGTCCATTCCCCCCCCCCTTATTTTACATCTATATAGGCTATAAACCCACAGGACAATGCTATACTACTTTATAAACAGTCATATATAAGTACCTCACGCTAACTGATTGTGCCGCTGGAGCTCGCAGTCATATATTATAAAACCTTTAAGAAGAAAAAGCAAAAAGAAAGAATTCTGTATTTACCGAGCTGTTTACCATCTCTAATGCTCTTCATTGCTTTGTGAGGATATGCACTTCCATCAGATACCATTTCCTTTCCGTTTGAAGAACTTCGTTTAACATTTCTTATAGTGCACGTCTGCTGACAACAAATTGTCTTAGTTTTCTTTTATCTAGAAATGTCTTTAGCTGTGAAAGAGTATCTTCACTTAGAAGTGAAGAACTCTGGATTGACAGCTTTTTTCTTCTATCACTTTAAAGATGCCTATTTCACTCTCTCTGGCCTCCATAATTTCTGATGTTAAGCCAGAAGTTGAGTCCAATGTTCTTCTCCTGTATGTAGCAGGTAGTTGTTCAACTGCTGCTGACTAGATCTGTTTTTTAGCTTTGGCTTTAACAGTTTATGGCAGTGTGGCATTTTTTGTCTTTATCTTTTTTGCTGTTTGTTGAGCATTATGAATCTGTAAATTTGTATCTGCCATAAATTTGGGAAATTGCCAGCCATTATTTCTTCAAATATTTTTTCCTGCCTGATTCTCTCTTTGCTTGCCTTCTAGGACCACAATTATCCATGTGTTAAGACCATTTGATTATATTGAACAGGTCTCTAGAAAACTTGCCCAAACATTTCCCTCTCTATTCTTCATATTGGATAATATCCACTGATCTATCTTCAAGTTCCTTTATTCTTTCCTCAGTTATCATCACTGTGCTATTTAAGTCCAGTCAGTATTTTTGCTTTATTTCAGAAACTGTATTTTTCGGTTCTAAATTTTTCATTTTAAAAATTGTTTCTATGTCTCTGCTGATATCTCCTATTAAATTGTTGCTAACATATTTTATTTTACTTCATTGCGGATAAAGTGCATTAAAACCTTTGTCTGCTGCCTAATTGCCCTGGCCAGAACTTCCAACACTATGTTGAATAGGAGTGGTGAGAGAGGCCATCCCTGTCTTGTGCCAGTTTTCAAAGGGAATGCTTCCAGTTTTTGCCCATTCAGTATGATATTGGCTGTGGGTTTGTGATAGATAGCTCTTATTATTTTGAGATACGTCCCATCAATACCTAATTTATTGAGAGTTTTTAGCATGAAGGGCTGTTGAATTTTTGTCAAAGGCCTTTTCTGCATCTATTGAGATAATCATGTGGTTTTTGTCTTTGGTTCTATTTATATGCTGTATTACATTTATTGATTTGTGTATATTGAACCAGCTTTGCATCCCAGGGATGAAGCCCACTTGATCATGGTGGATAAGCTTTTTGATGTGCTGCTGGATTCAGTTTGCCAGTATTTTATTGAGGATTTTTGCATCAATGTTCATCAAGGATATTGGTCTAAAATTCTCTTTTTTGGTTGTCTCTGCCAGGCTTTGGTATCAGGATGATGCTGGCCTCATAAAATGAGTTAGGGAGGATTCCCTCTTTTTCTATTGATTGGAATAATTTCAGAAGAAATGGTACCAGCTCCTCCTTGTACCTCTGGTAGAATTCGGCTGTGAATCCATCTGGTCCTGGACTTTTTTTGGTTGGTAAGCTATTAATTATTGCCTCAATTTCAGAGCCTGTTATTGGTCTATTCAGAGAGTCAACTTCTTCCTGGTTTAGTCTTGGGAGGGTGTATGTGTCGAGGAATTTATCCATTTCTTCTAGATTTTCTAGTTTATTTGCGTAGAGGTGTTTGTAGTGTTCTCTGATGGTAGTTTGTATTTCTGTGGGATAGGTGGTGATATCCGCTTTATCATTTTTTATTGCGTCTATTTGATTCTTCTGTCTTACTAGTCTTGCTAGCGGTCTATCGATTTTGTTGATCTTTTCAAAAAACCAGCTCCTGGATTCATTGATTTTTTTGAAGGGTTTTTTGTGTCTATTTCCTTCAGTTCTGCTCTTGATTTTAGTTATTTCTTGCCTTCTGCTAGCTTTTGAATGTGTTTGCTCTTGCTTCTCAGGTTCTTTTAATTGTGACGTTAGGGTGCCAATTTTGGATCTTTCCTGCTTTCTCTTGTGGGCATTTAGTGCTATAAATTTCCCTCTACACACTGCTTTGAATGTGTCCCAGAGATTCTGGTATGTTGTGTCTTTGTTCTTGTTGGTTTGAAAGAACATCTTTATTTCTGCCTTCATTTCGTTATGTACCCAGTAGTCATTCAGGAGCAGGTTGTTCAGTTTCCATGTAGTTGAGCGGTTTTGAGTGAGATTCTTAATCCTGAGTTGTAGTTTGATTGCACTGTGGTCTGAGAGATAGTTTGTTATAATTTCTGTTCTTTTACATTTGCTGAGGAGAGCTTTACTTCCAAGTATGTGGTCAGTTTTGGAATAGGTGTGGTGTGGTGCTGAAAAGAATGTATATTCTGTTGATTTGGGGTGGAGAGTTCTGTAGATGTCTATTAGGTCCACTTGGTGCAGAGCTGAGTTCAATTCCTGGGTATCCTTGTTAACTTTGTCTCGTTGATCTGTCTATTTTCAAGTTCCTTTACTCTTTCCTCAGTTATCCTCACTGCTATTTAAGCCCAGTCAGTATTTTTGCTTTATTTCAGAAATTATATTTTTTGGTTCTAAATTTTTCATTTTAAAAATTGTTTCTATGTCTGCTGATATCTCCTATTAAATTGTTGCTAACGTATTTTATTTTACTTCATTGTGGATAAAGTGGTCTTGGTTCTCAGGGATTTGTGTCTGGCTAGAGGGGTTGTAGGAAGGTGGTACGAGAATCTTTTTTTAACATGTGACGAGATGATAATGATAACAACCATGAAAATATCAACAGTGACCACAAGAAGAAAACCAACGGCTTCCAGTCATGGTAAAACACTGTTGAAGGCACAAGACAAGCTTCACTGCCCACTTTGTCTAGGATTTTCTGTGCCTAGACAGGAGAAAGACACTCTGATATCCTACTGCCTTTCATTAGCCAAACTGCAAACAAGTTACCCAAAGACCCAGGTCTTGTCCGTAAGATGTTTATTGCTATATATTTCTAACCTGGCCAGGTACAGAAAGGCTTTCCAGTAATACACGTAATAAACCTCAATGTAATAAATCCTCCTCTGGGGGAGCAGAAATGAGATGAGATCAGCACACAAAAAGCATAATGGCCCTAGTATAGAGTAATATGCAACTGTGTTTAAAGCAAAGCTAAAATAATTATGGCTGCTGCTCTAATTGAGGAGTGATATATTAAATATATCTTTCAGAGCAGTTCACAGATCTATATGAAAATCTTTGCAACAGAACCAACAGATAAATGTTCAGTGACAAAAATGTATGCAAGTTTAGTCTATGCATAATTATTTTATGAATATTACATAAAATATATTTGACTTTTAGAAACCTAATCTTGATTTAAAAACTAGTTAAAATTTGTAACTTTTCTGAAAACATTACACAACACGCTTATGAAACTAACAGAATATCCCATAGCACGTGATCAAAACAGAAATACACACCACCACCTTGTACCAAATCCAGAATAAAAATATAATCTCTTCTATTTCTTCCCTTTAAAAAAATCTACATGCAAAGATGACAAGAGACAGGAGAATGAGTCAGTGTGCTCAGCCTAAGGCAATGATGCTTGTTTTGCAATGCCCAAATCATTTCTAGAATATGCTCTTTCATGGTACACTGATAAAGAAAGTCTTAGTAAAAAACCAAGTGATTTCTAATAGCTCTTTCCCATTCAAGTGAGGCCAGCTCAGCTAACTCACATGAAGCCATGCTGTGACCCACAAAGAACATGGGTGTGCTGGAAATGAAATGCCACTGGAGCACTGAAGTACCTTGAACCTCCCTAATTTGTTTTCTCAGCTGCCTCGTTAACTTGCTCCAGGTCCTGGTTTCTCTCTCGGCTTTCATCTAACTTATTTCATATTCATCTCCTCTTACCCACTAAACCAGGGTTCTGTAACTCAAGTAGCTCTTGAAATCCCCCTTTCTTCCAAGAAGTCCCCCCTGACTTGTTGGAATAGTAGTCCTTGAACTCCCTCACTTGGGTATGGGGTTTTTAGGCCTTTACCTTCCACTCTGAGCCATAAAAGCACTACCGGTTTCCGTGTTGCTACTGTTTATTAGCCTCTGGAATTGATGAACTTTCTCTGAGCTGTGACCCAGGTGGATGGATGTCAGAAAGCATATTCCGCTGGAAGGAAGAGCTGAGCAGTAGTGAAGTCAAGGACATACAGAGCCAGAGTGTGAACATGAGTCCTGCTACTTACTGCCTTGCAGTCTTACGGAAGTCACCAACCTCTCTCTAAGCCCTGATTCCTTCCTCTGCTAAATGGACGTGGCGGTAAGCTAGCCCACATGTATCATAAGGCTGTTGTGAGGATTCAACGAGGCACTTCATGGTGTGCCTCGCACATGGTAAGTCCCCAGCAAACAGAATTAGCAGGACCTGACAGATGGTTTCTGACAATGTGTTTACCAATACAGGGTTAACCAGAATGTAAGTATTTTGGGTGTTAACAGTAGAAATATGAAAATGTTGAAATAAAGACACTTAGGGAAAAATGTCAAGTAAATTACAACTTACATTAAAGGCAGATTCTTTATTGGCTGAATGTGCTGTAGTAGATATTTAAAATATCACAAACATTCATGATTGCAGTTTTTAAACTTAGCTCACAGTTGAGTTAGATACAACAGTTAACATACTTAGGAAAGACAATTCTTAACAGCTTTATCAAGCACATTTGTGAAAGATTAAACTTTCATTTCCAGTTACCATGATGTCCCCCCATACACCAAATGAACCAACACATTTATTTATTTTAAATAATGGAAACTGTACATGGCTACACTGTGCTCTAAAATTACTTGCATTAATGAGGACATTAATTTTAGCATTTAAAAAAAGAGATTTAAAAATAACCATAGAAAAACTTGAAAACCCTGACAAGCCGACTACAAAGAGAATTCCTCTCTGAAAATTTTCAGATGCGACGGTATGAGGGAGTTGGGTGGGCCGCTGACTCTGAGAGAAGTCCCGGTGACCTGAACCTATTCCAGTGAAGCCAGTCAGCAGTGAATGTGGGGCAAGTGCATGCGGCTGGTCTACAGCTCCCATTGCCTGGTGACCAAGGAGCATCCTGAAGTTTCAGAGAAGAGACTGTGTGACAGCAGCATTGTTCCAGCTACTGAGCAAGATCCTTCAGCAGGTAAGAAGTGGCAGAGACAGTCACCTGCTGAAGGAGCGGGCAGGGAGTTGGCCGTCCACGCGGAGCCTGGCCTTTCCGTTAGGGGACCCTGAAGTCTGCGACCGCCCCGCCAACACCTCAGAGTGTAACACAGTGCCCGTTACACATTCACACTCCATCACAGATAACACACAGGGCCTCAGGGACTGCAACACGTGCATGTGTAGTGACGCACGACAAATTAAGAGTGAGTGAGAATGAAAGCTCATGCTTAGCCCTGTGAAAAATAAAAATCAGATAGCAAAACGCAAAGTTAAATCACAGACACCTGGACCACAAATAATCTACCCCAGTTGTAATATGTATTTTAATGGAGACCATAAATTTTTCCAAAAACCCGCTTGAATTAGAAAACTTAAGGCCATTTATATGAAATGAGGGTTTTAAGCACAGCTGTACAGTTTAGGACAGTAAGAGCTCCAAAGATGTCTACATAGCTTTCCAAATCTCGTATCAGTCAGTCTCTCCGTGTGTCGTGGGAGCTGCCTGCGCTTCCGTGAACGGGACACTGAGAAATGCTTCAATATGTGCCACGCCATTCCAGAAAACTCCCTGCAGAAGCAGCTCTTCCTGCAGCACTCAACCTTCTGCTGAGATGCAAAATATATTTTAAAATGTATTTTAAAGTCATACAGGATCTGATCTAGTAAGAATGGCAAAACAAATACTTCCTGGGCATTTCAAATGAGGTCATTTTGGTTGAAATGTATACCAACAATTTTCGAAGTCAGAGGAAGAAAAAAGAGAAAAATGGCAAACCCAATGTTTAATACACCAAATACCTTTAGGGTACTTAGAGAGTGAACAGTCTTATTACGTGTTATTTTCCTGGACTTCTTTTATGTGGCAGATATTTATGTTTTCATCATGGTTGAAGAAGCTGCTTGGAAACAGGTGAGCTGCAAGTGCATGCTACTCTTGAACTTGTTCAGGAGCTCTTCCAGT
Source organism: Homo sapiens (assembly GCF_000001405.40). NCBI lineage: Eukaryota > Metazoa > Chordata > Mammalia > Primates > Hominidae > Homo > Homo sapiens. The sequence continues at coordinate 486,762 of NC_000006.12, forward strand.
AACCTGCAGGACGGAGACACTTGTTTTACAGCCCGACAGATGGGGCGGCCTAGCAACGCAAGAAAACACCAGGGGAGCCAGTGCCCGGCTCTGCCTGGGCTTGCTGTGTGGAGAAGGCAGCTGAAAAGTTCTACCTATGGATCCTTAACTCAGCAAAAGAAACACATCAAAGAAGTTGATCAAATAGGATATACTGATAACGTATTTATGTTTGTACAGAAACATCTCCTTCCTATCCCCTCCCAAGATTAGATTCCTCCCTAATACAGACTGATGTTTGGGCCTATTCTTTTTTAGAAATTCAACTCTAAAATAATTTACACACCTTCAAATTCACTTTTTGTTAGATGGTTCTATGAACGCTGGCAAAGCCATACCGGAGTGTAACAGGCTACAGCACGTGGCATGGCTGCACCCTTTCCCCTGCTGCCCCTCTAGTCAGCCTCTTCCCTAACCCCATCTCCCAGCAGCCACTGCTGACTTTCCCTTCCTCTCATTTTGTATTAACAGGTATTAGAGAGTGGGGAGCGAAAGCAGTGAGTTAACCACCAGGGCAAGCAGGGTTAGGGGCTAATTCCACTAGGCAAATCGCTTTGCTGCCTGATATCGCAATCTGTTTCCCCAACTGATGTGATACAGTCATCTAATTTTTTTTCTTTTTTTCAGATGGAGTTTTGCTCTGTCGCCCAGGCTGGAGTGCAGTGGCGCGATTTCGGCTCACTGCAACCTCCACCTCCCGGATTCAAGCAATTCTCCTGCCTCAGCCTCCTGAGTAGCTGAAACTACAGGTGCCCGCCACCACACCCGGCTAATTTTTGTATTTTTAGTAGAGACGGGGTTTTACCATGTTGGCCAGGATGGTCTTGATTTCCTGAAGTCGTGATCCGCCCACCTCAGCCTCCCAAAGTGCTGGGATTACAGGCATGAGCCACTGCGCCCGGCCCAAGTCATCTAATTTTTAAAGCTAGGAAGGATCTTAGAGTTTTCCTGGTTTGGATGCAGCAACCAAGAACTGGGTTTAACAGTACTGAGGTCAAGAGATTATTTCACGGTTTAACAATGTTCAATATTAGAATGCTATCCCCACAGCAAATCTAAAATATAGTCCTGACCTGGGGCCATTTCAGGGTGTGTATTGTTCGTGACACACTACCTTTTGAGCCCTGTTCCACATATGAAACGTAGCAGTGACTGTTTCAATCTTTTATCATATTTATTTTAAAGAAATGAACAGGGTTTGGAACCAATTCAAATAGAGGATGGAAGTTAGAGAAGCAGCAAGAAAAAGGAAGAAAGGGCTGATTGTGCAGGCACTGTCTGCACAGCTGCCATGTGCCCACGTGGGATGCGTGCGGGGCGGGGCGGCGATGCCCCCGGGGACTGATGGTGGAAGGGCTGGTCTGCTGCCTGCTCTGTGCGTCGATGCCATGTGACAGCTCCCCCCCATGGCCCAGCCTATGTGATCTCTCTGCCCTGCACTGAGTCTGCACTGCATTCACGGTGCCAGCATTTCAGTCAGTGCACCACATGTGCCTGTCTATGGGCCCGGCAGCCACGTGCAGGGCGGGTGGTGAAGGAATGAAGACTGCCTCAGCTCGGGGGAGCCTGGGCATTTATGAAATTTACCTGGCCTAGATTTTCTCTTAGGTCCGTTTCCTGTTCTATGAGTAGTAAAGTTTAAATTCAGGTTGAGATCATCAGTGTGGTCTAATGAAATATATATGTATATATAAAACTTTATTATGCCATATGTGCACATCTACTTTCATAACATTTTGTATTTTATAGAACACAAAATAAATACTACTGAATTACTCAAAAATTAAAAAAAAAATCACCGACTCCTGCATTTTACTATGCTGTCTTCTTTTTTCCATTACTTCTTATGTATGCTACTAATACAGTTTACTGAATAAGTCATAGATAGCTTTCTTAAGACCTTTTCTATACCAGTCACTTGAAACGAGAGCCAACTTCTAAATTCTCCTAAACCCAGAAGAAAGGTCTTACCTTATTCTGTCACTCAGAAGACATGCAAGTTACAGGTGACGAGATGTACCTACTAACGCTATTAAGTAGGTATATCTGCTTATTCTGATTCTTATTTGGATTCTGCTCTTCCTAGAATCCAAATCATTATTTTTAAAAGGTATTTTAGGAAACAAAACCTTGTTGAGCACATTCAACTGGCTCCTAAGAACAGCACACAGGACTTACTTTTTATCTGCTCCACTGGAAAGCTGGGGCAGGGCTTCCAAAGCCTGCTTAAAACTTGACCTGAAACACAAACAGCCACACTGAAGTTGAAGCCTTGCACAGGAGAACTGCTGACAAATTCTTAAGCATCCCTTAATTATTGAGAAGCCAATAAAAGCCAGTGAAGCAAGGAAATATGAGAAAAAGTAAAAGTGAAAAACAATAGAAAAAGTAAAAGTAAAAGCGAAGGTGTAGCTACCAGGTGGAGGCTTTGTAGCAACGGGGTCAGAAAAACTCAAATAGGAAATGAAACGCTACTTGAAAAGCTAAAGGAAAAACATCTTCGAAAGGATGCTAGTGATAGAGGAGAGCTTAATGTGAACATGTTTAATTTAAAAGGAGTCTTTTCAAAACAAGCAGCTGGGGATAATCCAGTTACTCTAAGAAATGGGGATGACCTTCTGAAAGATGACACAGTGGGGTGTTTACAGTATTTGGCCTGCACAGGGCCTGATCTACAGCCAATGTCTTGTAATAATTACAGTCTACTTAAAACTTGTAGAAAAATGGAGAGCTATATAGATGCTTTAAAAATTCAATGTAAGTTCTTTACATGAAGGTAAAAGGAAAGAATTTTAAAAAGAAAACTGTGGGATGTTTAGCTTTTACAAGGAGAAAGTATTAGAAAAATTACCAAACCAAATGAAAAGCATCATAGGGGAGACTGTGGTAATTAACTTGTACCATTCACAAAGGAACAGTTCTTTTATCTCTCTTATGATTGGTTAAGGTGAAGAAATACTGCAATTCTTGACTTTAGGGGGTCGTTGCTTTTATATTGTAAAAACATCCTCAATCTACCAGGAAATACGTTTTTGAGCAATATTCCTCAAATCAGGGGCAAGTGTCACAGCAACAGAGAGAAAGACTGAAAAGTTCCAACAGAGTCATAAAACCCGGTGCTGGGCATCTCCAGCTGCTCCCGGGAGGGCGCGGTGGGGTGTGGGACGGGTGGCTTGGCGCACTCGGGTCCCTTCCCACATTCAGCGGCCTCTTTCCTGGTGTGGAAGCCACTGCCGCTACCTCCACCATCAGCTTGTTTCTTATGAACCTCTTTTTGATTAATTGAAAGAAATGTGATGTAATTGTTTTGACAGTATGACAATAATGATAAACATACTACATATTATTGGCAGGGTACTGAAAATTAAAAAGTGATTTGGCACATTTTCTCATTTAACACCCTCAAAAGCTTGCCTAGAATATTTTAAACTTCCTCTATAGATGAGTACCTTATACTCTAAAACTAAGTCAGCAGGAAGAGGGTAGGCATTTGCATGAAGTGTGCACACATCCAACATGGGCTGGGTGCTTTCCATCCTGTTAGTATGTTGTACAGACAAACGATGGCTGGGAAAAGGTGTGGCTCAACAGTGAACATGGCCCACTAAAAATGGCTGCTGGTGAGCTGTGACCGACGGGAATGAAAGGCTAACTTCATTGGTTAGGAAAAAATGGAAAACGTATTTTCAGTTGCAAAGCTGACAGAATGACAGCAAGCCATGTTATCAGATGCTGGAAATGAGTGAGTAAGCATATTACAGTGTCCTCAAACATTTCATTTGCATACGACTTGGCTTCTCAGGCACATCAACACTATAACCCAGTATTTCCTAGGTAATGTTGCCCACGTAGTAAACAATTTTGCACAGACAAACAGTAGTTCTGCTTCACTTCACCTACTGATATTTCAATGGTAGGAAATCCTGACTTTCATTCAAAACAGCTAAAAATTATCAAATTTCCACTACAAAATTTTGCAGAGAAACCACAAGGCTTCCTCTTATACTGATATTTACAGCACTTGAGCTGTCCTTCAGAGTCTGCTATGAACAGACTAAGACTCAGTTCTTATCCTCTTTTGCTTTAAGAAGTATGTCATACTCTGCTGTATTATAAGACTAAGATTTGTCAGTAGTAAATGAAAAAATTATATTAAACCCCTTTCATTTACATTGTGTTACAAAGTGGCCTTGACATAAACTTTATCACATCACAAATTCATGAGCATGTGCTCTGATCAGTCATCTTTACAGAGGACAGAATTGACTAGTAAGACAACCTTTATTTTTAATAGAGCACTCAACTAAAGAACACTGCCACTTACTTGCTTTCGGGTGTCAGGTAAACAGCCACAGTGTCCCTCAAAGCACAGATTTCAAGTCTCGCCTGAAAATGAGAAAAAGACAAAGTGACAACAGGAAAATTTATATTATCAAATATAAACAAGTACTAAGGTTAAGGGTCTCCAGCCTGCTCATCGTAGGATGGGGTTGGCGTAATACCACCATGGTGACCGCCAGTCATGAGTAGAGTTTCTAAAACAGTCCGAAGAAATTTGCTACCACAAAATGTTCGTTGACTGAAAATTAACTTGTAGTCAAGGATGACTGTGTGAGGGCAGGGAACTAGATATCTCACTATGAAAAGTACAAACTGTGTCATGATTTTCCAGCCATCTGTATTTACTCTCTAACCACTAATTTTTCTTTTAGTCTTGCAAGAGGAAAGACACTTTGAAACACTGCCCTGAAAGGGCCCGTGTCCCACAGAGGTAAGGATGTGGCTTGGCATGCTTCCTGACACCTATGCCCTTGCAGGCACACTGCCTTAATCTCAAAACCTAAACTCTGCTCTATGGATTCAATGCAATCTCTATTAAAATCACAGCTGCTTTTTTTTTCCTTAATGGAAACTGGCAAGCTGATTGTAAAATTCATAAGGAAATGCAAGGCACTCAGAACAGCCAAAACAATCTTAGAGTAACACATTTAGAGGCCTCAGACTTTCTGACTTCAGCCATACTCCAAAGCTAAAATATATTTAAATATTGTATACCCTCATATTTATGATCAACTGCTATTCAACAAGGGTGCCAAGACCACTCAGTGGGGGAAGAACAGTCTGTTCAACAAATGGTGCTAGGGCAACTGGATATCCACATGCAGAAGAATGAAGTTGAATCCTTTCCTTAACACAAAAATTAACACGGATCACAGATCTAAATGTAAGAAACTTATGAAACTATCAGAAGAAACCCAGTGTAAATCTTTGTGACCTTAGGCTAGGAAACCCTTCTTAGAAATCATGCCGAAAGTATAAACAACAAAACAGATAAAGTGGACTTCACCAAAATTAAAAATCCAGTGCTACAAAGACACCATCCAGAATGTGAAAGGACGACCCACAGAATGAGGTATCACTTCACACCCACTAGGATGGCTATAATCAATAAGAGACAATAACAAATAATGGTGAGGATGTAGAGACATTGGAACCCTCAAAAATTGCTGGTAGGAATGTCTGCCACTTTGGAGAACCGTCTGGCAGTTCCTCAGAAGATTAAGTATAGAGTAACCACATGACCTAGCAATTCCGCTCCTTGGTATGCACGCACGAGACATGAAAACACATGTCCACACAAGAACTTGTATAGGAGTGTTCACAGAAGCATTCTGCATATTAATCAAAGGTGGGAAAACCACAAATGCCCATCAGCTGATGAATGGATAAATAAAATGTGGCATATTTAAAGTGGAATATTATATGTAAAAAGAAGCGAGGCACTGGCATATGTCACAACATGGATGAACCCTGAAACATTACGCTACATGAAAGAAGCCAGTCACAAAGGGTCATATTTTCATGTTTCCATTTATACGAAATTTTCAGAGTAGACAAATCATAGAGATAGAAAGCCAATTGGTAGTTGTCTGTAGGGGGAAAGGGTGGTTTGGGAGGCAAATGATTAGACTTAATGGGTCAGGGGTTTCTTTTGGGATGAAATGTTCTAAAATTGATGATGGTGATGACTGGACAGCTCTTTGAATATACCAAAAATCATTGAATTGCATATTCTTTTTCTATTGTAGACAGATCGTATGCTATGTGAAATATTTCATAAAAGTTTTAAGAAAAAAGTTAAGCTTTCACTTCTACGCAAGCATGAATAAGTGTGATCTGACATACAAGTCAGTTTCCTGGGAGCTCCAGCAGACCCACTGACAATGATAACTTGATGTTCTGAAGTAGGTGCCCACAGTGAGTGGGACACACAGGAGAACATTTAAAAGAAATATCCCTTATTCTCAAGGAGTGGACAAAACATAAAACAATGACAAAAGACACAGCCAGCTCTTCACAGTTTATTAGAAATTCTGTAAGCCATCTAGATCAAAGCAGATATATATGACACAGGATATTCAGTGACCTTTTTCTGTTTGGAAGGCAATTGTTTGGTTTCATTTTTTCAGTCCCTTAGAAGCCTGAAAAACAGTATATAACTAGAAAGTTACAAATGCTAGAAAGTATGACAATTTCTGTCTCTATTTTGTTTATATTCTAGTATAGGTAAAAACAGACCTACCAGGAAAAAAGGTAGAACTTTCAGCTGACCATTTTAGGAGAAAGATTAAATTACTACAAAACCAATCTTCTGGTAGAAATTTTATTCAATCAAGGTGATAGAGTGTTTTAATTAACCTGTAAGTTATGCCAATTATAAAAACTGTGGTTAGCTATATAATACCTACAAAACTGTAATCCAGAAAACATCATGCTAAAAGATCTGCCAAAATCACCAAACTGTCACTCCCCTTTTCACCAAGCTCTCAGGACAGTTCTGGAGTTTGGCACCTAATTGCCTATCAAAGGTTAACCTGCTATCCCTCTTAGAGCTATGGCCTCAAGGAAGGAAGCTCTCAAAGTCATTCTCAGTGGGAGAGTGAAGCGGGAGTTTAGACTCACGACCTTTTTCAAAATACACATGTCTGTCCAGGCCCGAGGAGGTCTCAAAAACTGGAGGCTGGAACAGTTTGATGGCCAGTAGTTTCTGGACATGTGTACGTGAAAAAATTTTCCAGCTAATTCTGAGATCACTTTCCAACCTCTCCCTGCTGGTTTTGAGAGTGGTTTAGCCATCAGATAAATGGATTACGGAGGTAATGTGTAGAGAGGGCGGATGCCTGTTAAAATTCTAAGACTGCTAAGGCCCACAGTAGCGACTGCGACTGCCTGTTAATTCATCTGTAGTATTACACAGTTTATACTACTCATCTCCTGTGATGGAACTATTATAATAACCATGACCTTTCAACTTAAACGATAATATCAAAGATCTGATACATCAATTTTCAGAGAAAACTGGTGGCAAATGGAAACACAGCAGAAGCTTTTGCAACAGATTCTCCCCTAACCAAATTAACAAGTGCTCTCTGCTCTTTTTCTTTCCCAAATATGTATTTTGAAAAAATTTCAAATGTATGGAGGCTCTGAAAGAACTTTACAGTGAATGCCTGTTTACTCACAGGCTCTCCCAGTAACACAGCCTCACATGACCACATGGCTTCCATCCGTCACTCAGTCCTGTAGTTCTGATCCACTTCAGTGTGCATATCATTAACTACAGTGGACTATTTGCACCCGTTTTTTTTTTTTTATAGTTAGAATGTACATACTACACAACAGACAAATCTCGAAGTGTGGCATTTGATGAGTTTTGACTGATGTATACACCTGTGATGGAAACCCAGATCACAATACAGAACCAGCACCCTGTGACGATCCCTAAGGCCCCACCCTAGGAACCCCCACCACCCACAGGAAGCCACTGTTCTGAGTTTCTCATCACAGTTAGTTTTATTTGTTCTAGAACTTCATGTAAATGAAAACTATACAGTATACGTATATGTCTGTGTAAGGATTCCTTCATTTCGCATAATGCTCCTGGGATTCACTGTGCTGTATCAGTAATTTATTCTCTTTAATGTGGAATAGTATTTGACTGTATGAATATATTAGTTTATTTACTGTATTGATGGACACCTGGGTTTTCAGTTTTTGATTATGAATAAAATTGACTACGAACATTCTTATTTTTTTGAGAAAGGGTGTCACTCTGTCGCCCAGTCTGGATGCAGTAGCACGATCACAGTTCACTGCAGCCTTGACTTCCTGGGCTCAAGCAAGCCTCCCACCTTAGCCTCCCAAACAGCTGGGACCACAGGCACACAGCACCACACTTGGATAATTAAAACAATTTTTTTTTTTTTTTGTAGAGACAAGGTGTTACTATGTTGCCCAGGCTCCTCTCGAACCCATGGTGAACATTCTTTTTTTTTTTTTTTTGAGACGGAGTCTCGCTCTTTCGTCCAGGCCAGACTGCAGTGGTGCGATCTCGGCTCACTGCGAGCTCCACCTCCAGGGTTCACGCCATTCTCCTGCCTCAGCCTCCCGAGTAGCTGGGACTACAGGCGCCCGCCACCGCGCCCGGCTAATTTTTTGTATTTTTAGTAGAGACGGGTTTCACCGTGTTAGCCAGGATGGTCTCGATCTCCTGACCTCGTGATCCGCCCGCCTCGGCCTCCCAAAGTGCTGGGATTACAGGTGTGAGCCACCGCGCCCGGCCTGAACATTCTTATAAATATGTTTTGTGTCTCGAACCCATGGTGAACATTCTTACAAATGTTTTGTAACATTTATACAACATATACGAAACTGAAAATACGTTTTCAGTTCTCTTGCTTAAATAACTAGGATCGGAATAGCTGGGTCATAGGGTACGTATGTGTATGTTTAGCTTGAGAAGAAAGTGCAGGAGCTCTTCCCTAAGCAGTTGCTGCATCGCGTCCTCGATGACGTGTGAGAGCTCTAGTTCCATCACATTCTTGCCGACGTCTACTAGAGTCAGTCTTTAATTTTTATCCTGATGGATGTGTGATGGCATCGCATTGTAGTGTTAATTTTCATTTCCCTGCTAACTAACGATGTTGTTCATCCTTTCATGTGGCTGATGGGTCATTCTTACACTTTTGAAAATCTAATTACATGCATGCTGGATATTGAGACATTGTCCCACGGGTCGAGAGCTCCGCTTGCTTTTTTCCCCCAATTATCCTTATTTCTGTTGTTCATACTGGATAATTTCTATTGGTTTACAAGTTAACTGACTTTTTAAAAAATCTATTATTATCATCTAGTAGATTTTTAAAAATTCATCTACTGTGTTTTTCCATTCCAGAAATTCCATTTAGTTCCTGTTTTAGGGTTTCTATTTCTCCGCCGAGATTTCCCACCTACTGATTTATGAGGAGCGCAGTTTCCTTTACATCATCTGATGCCGCTGTGTTAAAATCCTTGTCTGCTAATTCCAATACCTGGGTCATCTTAAGGGTGGCTTCAGGTGATCATGTTTTGTATTAGGAATAAGTCGTGTTTTCCCAGTTATTTGTGCATTTCAATTAAATTTGAATTCAATTAAATTTGCATCCCGGACATTGTGAATGTTATGCTGTGGAGACTCTGGATTCTGTAATATATCTCTAAGGACTGTTGATTTTTTATTTGTTTGTTTTAGCAAGCAGTTAACTTATTTGGACTCTAACTCTTGGCTCTTGGGCAGCATCCAATTCTTACTTCAGTTCTTCTAGCCTTCGCTGGGCTGGCTGGAGTGGAGTCGGACCATGCATATGGAGAGACTCCTCTATGGGATACCTCTCTCACCTAGCCGTAGTTGTGGCTGCTCCAAAGCCTGTTTTTCAAGCCAGAAAGCACGTTTTGTCTTGGAGTTTTAGGCACTCCTGGACCTGGCTTTAGGTTAAAATCCATAAGAAATAAGAAATTCATGCGGGTGCCATTTCCTCTAGAATCTGCCCACCAATGGTCGTTCTCTGGTGTCTTCAGGGATTTTTTCAAAATTAAAAAAAAAATTTTATTTTTTGATATTTAAGTTTACAGTTGTTATTTGTGGTGGGCTGGCCTGATAGGAGCTTCCTCAGCCATGGCTGGACGAAGGGCACTGCTTTTTGAAACTCACTGCCACGCTGCCAGCCATCACATGAGGAGCTCCCAGGCAGAAGTGCACGCTTCCATCTGCAGGCATGCCTAGCAACTACCAGCTGGTTATGTGCATGCCAAAGTCAACTGGTGTTTACGGCAGTTATAATTATGTAATTTAAACAAAAGAGACAGTTATTTGTTGTTTCTATGCAAACTGCACTGAATGCTTTCAAAAGACTTATTAAAAGCAAGTTGTTAAAAATTTCCTGCGGAATGGAATGTCATGAAGATAGTTGGAAAATAAAAATAAAAATCACAAAACTTTTGAAGGATTCTGCATTCAGATAATTTGGCAGAAGTCTTTAAGATCTTGCTCTACTGTAAAGAAACAGAAACTCTGAAACTTGTAGACAATGCTTCATGGGTATGGCTTATGCAAGAAAGAATATGAACTTCTTCAATCAGTAGATCCATTAAAAGAAGCCTGTCATATCATAAGATTGATGACTAAAAACATTTTATATGCTTTAAATAACAACAGAAGTTCAATATGAAATTGAATGATTTTGTTACCTGTAAAGCTCCATTTTTGCTGAAGGATGAAACACACTGCATCAGTCGACTGAGCTCTTCAGAAACTGCTTCTATCACCTTGGATAGTACCCGAGGGACCAGTTCTTTGGAAATGGTGAACACCTGGTTTGAAATAGGAAGACATGGTGCTTTGTGGGGCTTTTTGACTTGAATTTGTTAAAGACAAAGTTAACATTCAAAACAAAACAAAAGAAAATCAACAGGACTTCTAAGTCATTTTTAAAAGGCCAAAATTATAAATGAAAGGAAGATACAGACTTATATTTAAATTCTATTGACTGATTAACAACAAAAATTCTCTTAAAAATACAATATTGGCAAATATAATTTTGAAAGGCATTACTGATGTTGACAAAATAAAAACTGTTTTGAACATTTCTTTTGCCTCTTGCCCCTTTCACTGGAAAGAAACATCTCTAAAGAAGAAATTAGAGAAATAAGAACATACTGGGTCAATATTTTACCACAATTTAAAAAAATATTGTGTCAGACTCTCCTTAAACTCTGACAAACACCATTTCATATGGGGTACCCCATTCTGTATTGGAGAACAAGCCCCCCCTCCACAATTTTACACATACTGTACTCAATATGTATTTCATTTTATTTGACTTACATTATTTTCAAACCTTAAAGTTTGAGACTTTCAAACTGAGAGTTACTGTCTTTGGAGATTTACTGAAACATCTGACTCTGCTGACTCATAAATGACAGTAAATCATATTTTCTTTTTAAGCTTTTCCTTTTTTCAGATTGAGCCACTAGCATTAAATATTTGAATTAACCCAAACATAACTTGAGTGTCCAAGGAAATTTTTGGCAATTTAAGATTATGTAGCAAATAGTAAATACTATGAATGAAATTCTCCTTTCAGTCATTATAAGCCCATGGCAATTGATAATAGACATTAATAAAAGCTGCCTCACTAGGAATCAGCACCATCACTACAATTTCCACAGATCTCACAGTTCTGCCCACCTACCGAAGAAATGCTTGCAACAACTGCACCTAAATTTGCACTTTGGGCTCAAATTCTATAGGATGCTACCATAACAAAAACAGAATTTTTATATTTTTTATAAGATCACAATTAAAAATATTGCTCCTTATAAAAAGATCTATGTGGTGACTTCCTGCCTGAGTTAAATCATATAAAAACTCTATTGTTAGAGATGAATTTGTATGTTTCCCTTTCATAAGAACTGGAAACTGTAACGTTCTATAGTTTTCTTTCTGCTCTTGGCGCTTCAAACTTCTAGCCAAATTTAGGAACCAGGTAGTGTTATCTTTGTCTTCCCTGGTCATATTCGGGTTTCACTCTTAATTAACCATGTTTTTTCAGTTTACCTTGATGGCCTCAGATACTTTTGGATGCAGCAGGCGGCATAAACCTAAAAACACCCTTCTTGGATGCTTGTCGCCCAAGAGGCACCTGGGCAACGGTGGAAACGACTGAATGGTAGCCTCTTTGATCTGCCCCACTTTATCTGGTCCCCCATTAGTCTGTGAGCCACAGCCACTCTCAAAGTGTTGGCAAAGCAGTGAGTAACAAATCCTGAAATGACTGAATGAAAACAGGCAGCCATAGATCATGGTGGTAGCTCTGGTCTCTTCTTTCAATGTTCCTCAGAAGAGTCCTCCTAACCAGGATGTTCACTGAGGATGTTAACACAAAGCTTAAGATGAAAGCGTGTCAAGTGAGAGCAAGTTTTCGCATGGCCCAGAAGCACCAATACTGTCTGCATGACCCTAAGTCAACCACGGACAGGAAACCACGCATCTGTTCCAGTGTCGGCCTGCCCCGAGTCTCTTTCTAAGCAGTGTCTGCCTTTCTGGAATCCCAGCCACTGCTACAGGAATCAGATACCAGTGCTTATTTGTACACAGGCTAAAAAGAGGTTAATTCATTTTCCAAGATAAGGGATTTACTATTCTTTGAAGGATAAACATCCTTGCAATCTATCTTCACCTTTCAAATATTTATGAATTTAGCTGGAATTATCAAAGAAAACATACAATTTCAGAGAAAGACTCACAGTTAAACACACACACACACACACACACACACACACACACACACACACAGAGACAGAGAGAGACAGACAGTGCGAGCAAGAGCTGAACTGTATCTTATTTATACCCAAGACACATTCTGAGGGAAAAAAAAGACCACCATAGAAATAATCAAATTTACATCTTTCTTTTTTCTTTTTTTTGGTTATCCATATCTCTTAGGAACATCTAATGATACTTTACCTCTGCATGCACGGCAATTATATTCACCAGTGCTTCTTTTAAATAGTTTCTGACACCTGAAATTGAAATAAAGGAGAGAAAGAAGGCATTAATAATAACACAAGCTCCCCTCCCCTGCTGGCAGGCTGTACCCCATGCTTTAGAGTTTTCTGAGGAGAAACAGAAAGTAACACCACCACTATTTCCTTTTGAGAATCAAATGGTGAAAGGAGTATTTCCATACAGGTCAAAAAGAAAAAAAAAGAAATGAGAAGTTTTCTTTTATTGTTTTTCATTTCTGTCACTGTTTATGTTCTCTATAACTGGCTCTCAGTCGGCCTCAAAATGAAAATTTAAGAATGTTCTTCAGTTTCTTCACGCACACACACACAGAGAATATATATAGATAAGTATCTATATATACTGTAAAACATATACACACTGTAAAACATATACGGTAAAACATATATACTGTAAAACACACACACACACTCAGTATAAGCAGTAACACAAAATACAGAGGGTGTTTAACAATGCTTATAAAATGCACATTAAATATCAATTATAGCATCTTACTACCAAAGGTGAAAGTCAAGTTATTGAGCAGAAGGACCATTTTTGTCTTAAGGAATCACTTTTAGGAGAAACTCCTTATAAAACTGAATTTGATTCTGTAAGCAAGTTAAAGCCTGGACAAAATAAAACATCAGATTTTAGGTACAAGTTCAATGAGCCTCACTTTGCTCAAAAGCAGAAACACACAGGATTTAAGAATGTGGGGTCTGAGGTCTGACTATTGGGGACCAAACCCCAGTTTCGACAGCTGCTAGTTGTGACTTTTGGCAAGAAGGCTGTGAGCCTCAGTTTTCTCATCTGTCACAGGAGAATAATAATTGTCCCACCCTTGGGGGGCTGCAGTGAGGATGAAGGGGGATGCATGCCATAGGTCCTGGCATTCACAGCGTTCACTAAGAGCTTTCATTATCATCATTTTGCAGGAAAAAAACCCCATAAAAACAAAATACTGTTTTATTGTGTTTCCAAAACAATTCCTTTCCCTTGAAGTGGGAGATTCCAGATGCCTTCTAGAGCTGCACACACTGAGAACATCTCCTCTATAGAACAGGGAAAATGCTGCACTGTAAAAGCATGGATGTTCCCAGTAACAACATTAAGGAAAATATTCTCCCAGAGTCTCATCCACGCTACTGGTTAGTTGGGAAAGTTGAGATAGAGATCAAGAACTATAATCAACCTTTTGAACGGGCATTTGCATATTCCAAATATAGAACTAGGTTTTGATTGTGTCACACACTACGGTATACAAATAAGGACACGGTTTTTCTTTTGAGGAGCCAATTTCATATACAGATCAATATCAAGGGCATAGGTATATATCGAGATATATATAGAGACATATAGATATACATATCTATATATATCTATATATCTATATATCTATTGGCTCCTCAAAAGATATATATATTATATATATCTATATATATTATATATATCTATATATATTATATATATCTATATATATTATATATATCTATATATTATATATATCTATATATATTATATATATATTATATATATCTATATATATTATATATATCTATATATATTATATATATCTATATATTATATATATCTATATATATTATATATATCTATATATTATATATATCTATATATATTATATATATCTATATATATTATATATATCTATATATTATATATATCTATATATATATATTATATATATCTATATATATTATATATATCTATATATTATATATATCTATATATATTATATATATCTATATATTATATATATCTATATATATTATATATATCTATATATATTATATATATCTATATATTATATATATCTATATATATTATATATATCTATATATTATATATATCTATATATATTATATATATCTATATATAATATCTATATTATATTATATATATTATATATCTATATATTATATATCTATATATATCGATATATATAGATAGATATATCTATCTATAAAAGATATATATATCTATAAAAGATATATATATCTCTATATAAAAGATATATCTATCTATGTATATATATTGGCTCCTCAAAACAAAAACAGTGTGCTTATTAAGTCTATTTTGCTGAGATGGCTGAGTGAAGAGTAATTCAATATAATCCAGAAATTAATGGATTCTTCCTGAGAAAAAGGATAATTGCAAGGTAAGAAGTCTTATCTAGGAGGCAGGAGAGAAGAACAGAAAGAGCCTGTTGTAAGTGAAAGTGAAATAAACGAACTCGTCTGGAGACCAGAGAGGCTTTCTTCCCGCAGGAGGAAAGCCACACCCCCCGGTGTCCCCAGACTGCTCCCGCTGCTGTGGGGGCACTGGGGCCTGGCCTCGCCGCTCATACCCTCTGGGCAGCCCCACCCAGGGGCGGAGATCCACATGCTCAGGTCTGGTCTCTAAGCCGCACGCCATGGAGGACCAGCTCATGTAGACGCACAGGTAACATACATACTTACTGAAAATCGAAGCACAATAGTAAGCTGCTATTTTCGATGCTCTAAGGAACAGAATAAAAAATTCACAGCCTCTGCCCTCAGTGAGAACCGGGGTCCTGTCAACACTCCTGCAAGAACAAGTGTCAGGATTTGGGGCTCTAACGATGTGCTACGGTGCAAGGATGACTGGAAATGCGAAGGCAGTTTTTAACTTTTGAAATTCCTCAATGTAAAAGAAAAGAGTGGGGGCAGAGTGCTGACTAAAAAGCAGAAAATTATACTTAGAGTGAAGCCAGGCGGTGTCACATGCTCAGTGACAGCCTGCTGTGAACTCAACTCCCACTCGGACCCCGACATCATAAACACTTCCTGGCAAGAACCCACCCGCCTAAGCATTACTAATAAGACACCCCGTAAAAGAGGTGAAGTGTAAACTGCTCAATGCAATTCTGAAGACAAAGCTATGAATGGGAAGAATAAAGGCACAGGACCCTTTGAACCAAAAGAACCATATTTTTGTGGGCAGAAAATTTGGAAAAAAAAAATCAAGCTTCCTATTTTGGGTCGAGCACAGGTTTCACATGGATAATATAAGGAGCTCAAAGACGTAACCTTGGACAAGAAAGAACTTTTGTATTTCTAGATTTTATCTTTTTGAATGAAAAAAAGGAAATAATTGCCTTCTTTCCCCTCACACAAAAAAACGAAATAACTGCTTCATACAAATAACTGGTAATGTTGGAAAAAGAGAAGGGAAAAATGTGTGGTCCTGTGTGGACAGGAAGTGGTACCGCTAGTCAAACCACACATCAGGCCAGTGAGGTTCAAAGAGGCAGCATTCAACTGGATGCATCGGAAAGGGCCGGAGTGAGGCGGAGCTCTGCGAGCTGCCATCATAACCTCCCAGTGCAGTGCCTGTGCTGGTATTATAATTTTTGGTAACAAAAACTTTAATATAAAAATAAATCATTGATGGTCTCTCTCCAAAAAGCTAATCGCTGAATTAAATACAGGAGCAAGTACTTTTTTTTTTTTTTATTACCGATTGGGCTGAAATTGTTCATTCTAAGGGAATGGCTAAAAGTTCTCATTCATTCAACTAACATAAATTCATTGAGATCCTACTACATGGAGGATGCCACTAGGCACATGGCAGAGGTGCTCAAGGCATATGGTGCTCCAAGTAGAACACGTATACATCTCCAGTATATGTAAGACCCCAAAGTGCTTAGTTATTACAAGTTTGACCTGCCAATATATGCAGGATGGCCATATGAAAGAATTTCATGTTGTAAAAAACATCTTTGCCCCATTTACCCTGATGTGGTATTTATTACGCATTTGCCCTGATGATGTGGTATTTATTTATTACGCATTTGCAAGCCTGTATCAAAATCTCTCTTGTAACTGCTAAGTGTATACACCTACTATGAACCCACAAAAACTAAACATAAAAAAATTTATACTTCAATTTAAAATAATTTGTTATATGTTTGGTTGCTATATTTATTTTGTGAAGTCCTTAAACGGTTAAAGAATAGTACTGGATAGGAACAGAGGAAGGGCAAAGGGCCTAGAGACCAGATAGTGTCCGTGTCTGGGAAACCGGTAAGATCTCTGTGGTCTTCCTCGTTCAGAATTTCGCTTCCTTTCTCTCTTCACTCCGGCCACAGCTGGGTACTGGCCTAGGGAGAGACCAGCCGAGTAGCACGCCCGCACCCTCGCCTTCCTCCTCAGCCTGTCCCGTGGGCTCTTGGGTCCAAGTAAGACTTTTACTCCCATAAAGCACTCACTTCCAATTGCTTGTTTTCTGTTTCAAAATGTTATCCAAAATCTGTCTGTGGGAGGATGTCAGCTCTTTCAAACACCTGTGTCCAAAGAAGCCCGTGCTGGGACAGGTGCTGGGGTGGCCCGGCTCGCTGGCTCCATGCAGCTCTGACGGCCAACACCGTTGGCAAAAGCAGTAGCCACGTGCTTTCCCGACTGGGCAGAGGAAGGTGCTGGCAGCCAGGGTAAAGGCATGCACATGCGAACACTGAGAGGAGGCCCAGACCAGGCAGGGGCTGGGACGGTGACGTACGGTGATGCAGGGCTCGCCTGCGGCCTCGCAGTCTCTTCCTTAAATGGGAGGTCAGACGGAGAAGGTGAGGCAGAGGCCGTCAGAGAGGGGCTCCGTGTGCATCCGTTATGGAAGCGGCTGAGGCCTCGCGGTGATGGCAGAACGATGTGTGGGATGAGTTTCAAAGGACCTCAGTTGTGGCTCCTGGCGGCAGGACCAGAATCTGATTTTTGGTGACAGAACCTTTTTCAAAGGGCCAGTGACGGTGACAGAGGGGCCATGCTGCAATTATTTTTGGTGGCATATGTCCTCCTCCCATTGAATTTCATTCCAATGTCACTATCAGTAACGTTAGTGCTTGATAATTCCTTTTAAGTTTATTGAGGTGACAGAAAGAACACTTGAGATGGAATTTCCTGGCTAACCCTACACCAATCGTATGACCTTCCACAACTCAGCTTATCTTTCAGACAACTGCCTACTCTGCGAAACAGACAGATCACGAGACCCATTTTGCTAACGAAGCTGTTATGAAAATGCCACGTGTGTGCAATTCCCCCATTCTTCCAACACGTGCTGTGTATCTATCATGTGCTGGGCATCAACAGGTGGTGATATAAGAAAGTGGGCAAAACAGACAGGACCCCCCACCCTAAGAGAGCTTACAGGTCAGTGGGGAGGAGCATCTTGCCAATTCTAAAGTAGTACACATATTTCAGGTGTTAATTTAAAATTAAAGACATAACAGTTGACTAAAAAGCATAATGACTAGAAACAGCACACTGATTTCTCTTTCTGAAATGCAAGGTATTAAGTTTGGACAATGGTCCTGCCATGACTGTCTAGCTGCTGCAGATCCTGGCTGTACATTAATTCTTTTGAGTGGTACAAGGAATGGCTAACAGTTGAGTTTGCATATAGGAACACAACAACGGCAGAAAAAAAAAACACGAATACAACATGAAATATGGCTGTGATGTGCTAGAACTGGAAACGTTTGTCCTTGACAGTACTCCTCATTTTGCTGGTTTCATACATAGTCCTTGGAAGTTAGAATTTCCGTTCAACTCTCACCATACTTTGCACTGGTGTTGAGAATGGCTCAATGTCAAATGCCGGTGATGGCTGGGGAAGACTTTGCTTCTGTGGCGACATCTGAGCCGTGGCCTGAGCGAAGAGGATCGGGGGACACAGACAGAATTAGACTGGGCCTCAGACACTCATTACTGAGTAGTCACCTGGGGGCAAGTTTCTGGACTGCTCTGACTTGTAGCTTTCTCCTTTGTAAAACAGAGACAACATTTAAGTGGAATAACGTTTTTAAGAGGCTAGGGAGGCATCCGCCAGACAGCAGGCAGCCAACAAGCGGGAGGTGTTAGGACGGCCCCGCCCCACCCCACTCTGCATTCCCAGGTGCTGCCTGGATCCACCGTTGTCCTCCTGGGCACTGTGTCCCCGGTCCCACTGGGGCAGCTCTGCAGTCCTTTGTGTGATCACTCAGTGAACAACTGTCTCTCCTATTGGACCGTACACTCCACAGCACAGGGATCATCTGCCATTCTCCTTCTCATCATAGCCTCAGCTCCCATCACAGAGGTTGGCACACAGATGGCACAAGATGTTCAAAAATATCCGTGAATGACAAACAAAGGAAGGCAAAGACCATGTCTGTCTTGCTCACTACTAAGTTCTGAAGACTTATGCAGTTGATAAGTGAATGAATGAGGGAATAAACACATCAGAGAAAAACCTAAATATATGTAGAATTCTATAATGCTCAAGTCAGAATATATCTGCGTCATCTACTAAAAGTAAGTGCCTCGGCATACATGGAAAGAAGGTATTCCTTGGGAAAGCATACAATCTCTCGCTTCTCACAAAGACAGTCCTTTTGAGCATCAGGATCCATTTGAAAAATATAGTTTGAATAAAGTAAGTACAGTAGTATAGAATATTGCTGAGGCTTAATCTATTTGCTTTCCAAAATATGCTTTATTTTTCCAGCAATATACTGAAATAATGTCATTAGGTATTTGCTGAATGCTCCGCACGTGCTGGATATTAGGAAGATGTCCAGGTATATCAGGATGGAGTGAACACGTAAGTGTGCAGGGAAACCTAAGTTTCAGTTTGTGCTCCAACAACAGTGGGCCATACAATGCCAAATGTATGGTGCACACAGTATTAGGGAGGGATCATCAGTGTGGACAGTGTGCCAAGAAAAATACAAGGCAAACGGATTTGCTCCTTGGAGTTAAAGGCTACATTATTATGCTGCAGTAATAAGTACTGTTTTTAAAAAGGTTCCCCTTCAATAAACCCCCACAACTTTCCATGTTGTTCAAGCGAGGGAATGAGAAACAGTTTCTAAGCATTTACAACATGTATCTCCTCCACTGTCTGAATATGAAATTAGAATGTGTCATGATATTTGACAAAAAGTGTCCCCACCCACACAGTATCAACCTAGACTACTACCACTTAGCAATTAATCTAGTAGCCCCGTGTGGAAATTCCCCATGGAGAAAACAAGGCTCATCTCTACTGAGCAAGAACTTGTAGGCTGTTTCCTGTAAGCCAGCCGGTGTAACCCAGCATATTCTCCAGCAACGAAGATCTTGTTTTCATGCATCAAAATAGTAGAGCAGCCTTCTTTCTTGGTATATTTGTCAGTTTCCTCTTTTAATCATATAGGAAGGTCACTTGATTTTGGAACAGGCAAACTGGCACACTATTAAAAATACTTCCTGAGTGTCCATTATTATTACATGCAGGACACTTTTCCAGGGGCTGGGGATATAGCAGGGACTACACACACACACACAGCAGTGACCACACACACACACACACAGAGCAGTGATCCCACACACACACACACAGCAGTGACTACATACACACACACACACAGCAGTGACTACACACATACACACACACATACACACACACACACAAGAAGTGACCCCCCCACCCACACACACAGCAGTGACCCCCCCCACACACACACACAGCAGTGACCACACACACACACACACACAGCAGTGACCCCCCCACACACACACAGCAGTGACTACACACACACACACAGCAGTGACTACACACACACACACACACACACACAAAGAAGTGACCCCCCCCACACACACCACAGCAGTGACCCCACACACACACACACACACACAGAGTGCTCCTGCACTCCCAGGGATTGCACTCTAGTAGGGACACACCCAGGTTTAATATGACAAATGACCATCTTGCACATGGGAGAGAAGAATCTTACACTGTCTTTAAACAGTGCAAGAAAGCAAATGCATGAAATACAATTGTTCAGGCAAACAGCAAAGCTTACATGAGAAAGAGAGGGCTTTTGCTTGATGAGAATCATTCATGAAAAAATGATCCCCTTTGCATGTGGGTGCTCGTGTTCCTTTAGTGCTGATCTCATGGGAATAATGCCCAGCAGTACCTGATACCACATAATGTTTAGCTATGTATTGGAATGACCTGGATTTAAATCTTAGCTGGAAAATCAGTTAATCTGAGCTTCTGATTTTCTTTATGGGAAAATGCTTTGTAAAATAAAAAGTGTTCTACAGGCAGACAGGATTCTTCTTCTTCTTAATAATTTGGAGAAACCTCATTAGAGAAGGTCGACATTAAAGAATAAAATATTGAACACTTTGGATTCACCAAGTCTTCGTCCTTAATTTTTTATTCAGAAAACTGAGTAATTAAATGCTCATTGTAAAGAACACAGTTGCCCAATAAACTCCTCTTTCATCCTTCTTAGGAATAACCACTATTGACAGGTTAGTGTATGTTCTTCCAGATCTTTTCCTATGAATATATTTTTTTCCTAAAAAATGAGATGTTACACATTCTCTTCTTGAAACTTGCTAAATTTCATTCTGTAATCTATAACAATTTTTTAATTGACTATACTTTTTAGAGCAGTTTGAGTTTCACAGCAAAACTGAGCAGAAGGTGCAGAGATTTCACATATGCCGTCCCGCCCGCCACCACATACACACGGCCGCCCCAACTGTCAGCATCCCCACCAGAGGGGTGCATTTGTTACAGTCGAAAGACCTACACTGACATGTGTCATTATTACCCAAATTCCACAGTTTACATTAGGGTCAATTTTGGTGGTGTACATGTTACAGGTTTGGACAAATATATAACGACAGGTACCAACCGTTACGGTAACACACACAGTAGCTTCACTGCCCTAAAACTCCTCTGTGCTCCCTCCTTCCCCAGTAACCCCCGACAACCACTGATCTTTTTAATCTCTCCATAGTTTCTCCTGTTACAGAGTGTCGTATAGTTGGAATCACACAATATGCAGCCTTTTCAGTTTATCTTATTTCACTTAGTAACATGCATTTAAGGTTCCTTCCATGCCTTGCTCATTTCATCTTAGTGCCGAGTAATATTCATTTTCCAGATGGACCGTAACACATTTATTCACCTACTGAAGGATTACTTGGTTGCTTCCAAGTTTTGGCAATTATGAATAAGATTGCTACAAGCATTGGTGTGCAGGTTTTTGTGTGGATGTAACTTTTCCACTCCCTTGGCTAAATGCCAAGTGGTGCCAATCATGGATTATATGGTAAGAGGATGTCTAGTTTCGTAAGAGGCTGCCAAACTGTCTTCCAAAGTGGCTGGGTAATTCTGTAGTCCCACTAGCAATGAAGGAGAGATCCTGGTGCTCCACATGCTCACCAGCAGTTGGTGTTTTCAGTGTTCTGGATTTTGGCCATTCTACTAGGTGTGCAATGGTATCTTACTGTTGTTTTAATTTGCAATTCCCTAATGACACACAATGTGGAACATCTTTTCATATGCTTATTCTCCATCTGCATATTTACTTTGGTAAGTTGTCTGTGAAGGTCTTTGACTTAAGCAAACAACCTGTTTGCTCTTCAGTGCATACGTATCTACCTTATAATTTTTGATGGCTGCTTAGTATTCTAGCATGGATGTATCATAATCTATTTGACCATTCTCCTACTATGGGGAACTTATGTTGCCTTTCAATTTACTACCATAAATAATGCTGCAATAAACATAGATTCTTGGATTCTAATACAACAGTTTATGTAAGATATCTTCCCAGAAGTGGAATTGCTGAGTGCAAAGGTAATCAAGCTATTCAGTTTTCATGGATTCTGCCAACCTATCATGCAAAAGGCCACACAGAATTATACTCCTATTTCTTCATGCCTTTTTATCCTCTTAACTTGGATTCTCTGATTACTGTAATTAACAGTATCCCTAATATATGCTCCTCCTCAGCTATGATAGTCTATTTTAAAACATTCTTAACAGCTATTTGACAAAACTTTTCATGAAAATAAAATAAAATTTTAATACGAAAATTGAAGGAAATTTACTAGAAGTGACACAAGATTTACTCTGACTGTATAAAAAGTGTCTGAAAAGTGCTGGAGAGGAAGAACGTGTTGTAATTACAATAAACAACTGCTATGCCATCTTAACCTATACCAAGAATGCAAACTTTTCCATGAAGCATTTCCTGTTGTAATTGGAAAGACGGCTCCTTTAAACACAGGCGGATTTCAAGGTACTCGGCCTAATGTTGTTTTGACGCATAACACTCTTCAGACAATACTATAAGAAATCAACCCTGGAAACTCTGGAGATACTACCTACTGTATAAACCACATTTCCTGTTTTTAACCCCTATGCCCCAAATCAGTTATCACTCCCAGTCTACTGGTAAAAATAGATTCAAAAATACTATAAATATCCCACAATGTACTTTTTTTTATTGTCAAACTGAAACACTACTGAAAAAACTTTGGTGTATTTTTTTCAAGTGAATTATCTATTCAATTACACTCTGAACACACATTATCGAAATTACTGCCTAATTAAAAAAAAGAAAAAGATAACCAGAAACTGTATCACTATTAGTAGAACAGAGAGAAAGTCCTAACCATTCTGCAGCAAAATCAGCTCTTGTTGGACTAACTAAAGAGTTTTAAGTTCCCCTTCGTCAGGTTTTAGTGCCCTCATTCCCAAATTGATAAATGTCTTTTGCCCTAAAGTGGATTTTTTCAATGACTATTTGAGGAAAGGACACCCTTCCTATGTAGCACATGAATGGGTACCTTCGCCCTCTCCTGCTTTCTGTTTTCCATCCCAGGATTTTTTTTTTCATTGCTTTCATCAGTAGGATCTCTTATTGATCAGCGTGATCAATCTCAATAGGAAAACTCTTTCCTCGAGAAAAGAGAAAACATTGCCAACAGTGAAAATAACAGTGAAATGGTTACATGGTTTATTTTTTCCCATCTGTAAGAAAGACTTTATATTCATAAGAGTTTAGATTCATAAACTTCATAGACAAACAGCTTTCAAGACTCAAATATACGCAAGTGGAAAAAACTCTCCCCTCTCATTTCAAAATGTAAAGTCTGATGTGTAGAACAGACCATGAATTATCCTAACATAAGATGTCACAGAACTCATTACACACTTAGCATAGAATACGTTTCACAAACTTGATACACTGAATTTTAGACATAAAGGTAGAAAGTTAATTAACTTAATATAAACAGACAAACCATTTGTTTGAATTTAGTTTTTTGTCAGAAATTTTTTTTTCATTACAAGGAAACTTCAGTTAGAAAAGTGAAAGTGACAAGAAAACAGGATTCATTCTATACATGCAGATGAATGCGTTTGTTTTGCACTGTGAGGTGTTACTTCTGGACATACTACTTCATAAACAGGCCTGGGTTAACTGTTGATTTTCACAATTTCAAGAAGGTGTTTTGTTTTTGTTTTTAAAGATTTTAATGAGCTGAGATCAAAACCAATGACTGCTATGAGAGAAGCAGGTCTGGAAGCAGCTGGGGTCCTGACCCCTATTTTCCTGCGTGGTCCCTGTGGCTACACGAGTGAATGCTGGGAAGGGTTCCTGCCATGGCCTGGCACGCAAGATGGTGCAAAATGCCAGGCAGTGCCGTGCCTGCTGCTGAGCGGGTCCCGCACCCCTTTGACTGCAGTCATTACCGTGGAGCACGGGAAAGAAGTAATAGGGTATAGCTCCTATTCTCAATATAGCGGGGGTCCATATGCAATTGAAGAAATAGCCGTAAAACCTTCCAAAAAGAAAACACCTTGAAATTAAAAACAATTTTGAGTCATAATAAAATGGAAGGCAAAAAAAAAATATGAAAACCCAATTGCTAACTGGGATTTTAAAGTCCCATTTACAGAGTAAGAAATCTAGGTAGAAATGCATACATTTAAGGAGACTAATTTTTGAATATGCCACACATCTGTTTAGATGGCTAAAACCACAAAGCACTGGCCTTGCACCCTGTTGGGACTGACGACATTGAAGTGTGAGGCCAAGAGAGGGCTGCACGGGGGCATCTGGATTGAACCCAGCCCGAGCGGGACAAGCCGCTCACCTGCAGGGGCCTGCGTTTCTAAAGCTGCAAGGCCAGCTTAGAGTGCACTCCAAGGATGTCACCAATGAGGCCCACAGGCTCAGGGCAGCAAGGGCAGGAACAGTGCCTCGTTTCATAGACTTGTTTCTTTTTCTAAGAAAATCTCATTCAAATACTGAATTCCATGTTGCTTGTTATTTCTCTTGAGATTCTATTAGCAATGACTCATCTGTTCTCCCGTCTTCAGTATCAATGATCACTCGCATCACTCCGCCACATCTGTTGCTTCGTGCCTGGTACACTGTTGTGCAGATGCTTTATCCAAAAATAAGTGCAACCCCTTTACTCTTCCTGGTATCTTTATCGTTCATTCACAGCTTTGCCATACTTGGAAACTCTCCCTCATGGGTTGGTGTTTGTCAGAAGGGCAAGGTGCATATACACACACAGTCTTCTTCCTTGGGGTTAAGCCACTGCCCTTTTGTCAGCAGGGGAGGGCCACCAGGCCATGGTCCTTGAGCCCCTTCTCAGCTCTGTTAACAGCACCTGGGACTGAGGAAGGCCCACAGTACTTTGCAAACTCAATTCCAGTTGGTCCACGAACAATACAGGTTTGAACCGCGTGGGTCCACCCATAGGTGGGTTTTCTCATGCCTCTGCTGCCCCTGACACAGCTAAACCAGCTCCGATCCTCCTCTTCCTCCTCAGCCTACTCAATGTGAAGATGAGGATGAAGACCTTTATGATGATCCACTTCCACTTCATGAGTAGTAAATGTATTTTCCTTTCTTATGATTTTCTTAATAGCATTTTCTTTTCTCTAGCTTACTTTAAGAATACAGAATATAGTATATACGTAAAATATGTAACAGACTGTTTATGTTATTAATAAGTCATCTGGGCAACAGCAGGCTATTCCTAGTTAAATTCTGGGGGTAAACAAAGATTTCAGACTGTACAGCAGGTTGGCACCCCAACTATCTGTCGTACAGGGGTCTGCTGTATTTACAAACATGAAGATATACAAAACGACACCGTATTGTTAGCCCCGTGGTCTGACCCATGCCCTGTACATGTTTCTTGGTAAGAGTGATAAAGTTAGAATTGGAGATGAAAAGTTGGGCCTAGTTCCCTTATTTGAGCAAGTTACACAGCCTTTCTTGATTCTCCAAATTTTAAAAATTTGCCACATGGGGAAAACAGTATCTAACCCCAACACGGTTGGTGTGAAGATAACATACAAGAATGTATGTGAAAGCAGTAAGTAAACTGTAAAATATTTTCATTTGAAAATGGACCAAATGAAATACCTGAATAAATCCATGAGGTTTTCAATATGAACCAAAGCAAAATGTCGTCTGGCATTTTATTTTCAACAATGGACGCTTAAACCCCACAAAATAGGCCGACTCTGCGACTCTATGTTTCCCAGCTCCCATTTTCAGGTATTTCCAGCAGAGCCGTTATGAATGCAGCTGGTGGTGTCTTTTGGCGGGCATAAACACTCATTCTCTTGGGTCACAGGCTGGAATGGAACTGGGTCACTGCATGTGTGTTATCTTCAGTGTGCTCCAGTCCCCGTGGGGAAGAGCCAGACCACGTGCCGTACCAAGAGCACGGCGTGGTCACCCACGGTTTACGTGCAGTGCGGCTGCACACGGCCCACGTGTCCACGAGCAGCACAGCCCCAGTGAGGCTAAATGATCTGCCGAACCTGTTTTCCTTAGCAGAATATGAAAAAGGAAGCCCCAGCACAAACCAAGGAGGAAAATGAGAAGAAACGAAAGTCCAAGCACACACACCAATTTTTCTTTTCATTAATACAACCCGACCGTAGAGTACAAGAATATTAGTTTCTTTCATATCCATCATATTTAAAGTCCATGAAGGTAGCTTTTGTGATTCCATAAAACCTCTTATTAAATTCCTTCAATACACAAACTTGCTAAAAGTCACATGCATTCTATGTATAATCCTTAAAGTCCCTATTACTGTAATCATAGGCTGTCACACCATTTGCAACCAGAAATGACAGCAATTTCAAAAAAGAAAAATGGGTTTTCAGATATATTACATTTATGAATTTACTCTGGTTGTCACTCAAACATTTTGATTATTAGTATGTGATATTATGAGAAAACTGAAGTAAATTGATACAAAAAGAATCTAAGTCTCAAGTAAATATCCTCTGCAATATAAGGATTTTAATAACATTGCCTTTAATTTGCTCCCATAGACACAAACTGCTTTGTTGATGTCTCTTGCTCCACACACTTAAAAATCTAGCCACAAACTGAGCTTTTTATGCTAATTGTACTATTTTTAGACTCTTGATACAATGTAGAGTTTAAGCACATTGATTAGCTTGCTGAAAAATGATATACTTTTGAAAAGTGTTAGGAGGCAGAGGCAGAAGTCCCAGTTTGTCAACCAAATGCTCCTTGACGGCTGTAGACAGTGTTTCGTCTGGACTTCAGTTTCCTTGGCTGTAAAAGAAAGGGGTGTGATAGGTCTTCTCTGCCTCTTCCAGGCCGACAAGTAACCCTTTTACTGTGGTCTCTTAGGAAATGTTCAAGTTGTTTTCAATGAACACTCAAAATTTTTCCACCTTGAAGGTTTAGAACAAATAGTAACTATTTATTACTAACTACTAAGCTGCCCTGTAAGTATTCTGGGGTTAGTTTTTGCTGCTTACTAAGAGAAGGTGGTTAAGAAAATTGGAGATGATTACCCAATATTTACCAAGTACCTTTTATCTTGAAGGTTCTATCCTGGTTTTGGGAGAAAGTCACAGAGATGGCATTTATGACCTCAAGAGTAGAAAACAGGAAACATAGAGAGAGTTGCTCTGTGGTTTAACTTTCTTAACAAATTCTATCAGATGCTCATTTTCTACTAAAATGAGTAAATCCAT